>NC_000001.11:57584138-57735653 GCF_000001405.40 Homo sapiens
GTGTTCAAACTGTGCTCAAATAAGGAAACGCTGAGCCGTAACCAATCCAGCCATTCTGTACCTCACTTACGATTTCTATATATCATTTCCCTTTTTTTTGTCTATAAATCTTCTTCTACCATGTGGCTGTGCTGGAGTCTCTGTGAATCTGTTGTGATTCTGCAGGCTGCCCAATTCACAAATTGTTCATTGCTCAATTAAACTCCTTTAAATTTAATTTGGCTGATGTTTTTCTTTTATCAAATCACAGGGCTGGTTGAGGCCTTAAGCTCTGTACAGTGTCTGCTAAGATGCAGCAGATCTCTCTGGGTCCTTGGAATAGTGTGCTCCTTCCATAGCTGAAATCTTTGGTCCTAGACATAGTCCCTGTACTCTGCAACCACTGATACCATGTTGCTTCCAGTGACCTGGGCTCGGCACCTCTGCATTCCCTCCCTGGGATATCCTAATGTCTCCCTGAACAGGCACTAGGGAAACAGAAATATCACTCAGACCTATTATTCCAGACATGTCTATACACACATATATTATGCTCTCCTAAGGAACAAGGTGCCAAGCCAAATGCAGAACATTCTCTAGAGCCTTGTAGTTACTCTTCCAAGCAATGCCTAGAGAAGTAGTCTCCAGCTTTCTGTGTTGTTAGGTCCCCTAATACCTGTATGGATATCTCCATTATTAGTTTCTCTACCCCTTGTCAAGATATGGCTATGTGGCAGGAGGTAGAATGAGAGATTAGTAAGAATCCTGCCATCACATTTCCTCATCTACTTCTTCCTCACTGGAAGCAAATTCCTCTATATCGAATTCTTTCTCCATTAAGACTCACACCTCGGCCAGGCGCGGTGGCTTACGCCTGTAATCCCAACACTTGGGAGGCCAAGGTGGGCAGATCACAAGGTCAGGAGTTCGAGACCAGCCTGGCCAACATGTTGAAACCTCGTCTCTACTAAAAATACAAAAATTAGCTGGATGTGGTGGTGGGTGGCTGTAATGCCAGCTACTCGGGAGGCTGAGGCAGGAGAATCGCTCGAACCTGGGAGGCGGAGGGTGCAGTGAGCCAAGATCAAGCCACTGCACTCCAGCCTGGGCGACAGGATGAGACTCTTTCTGAAAAAAAAAAAAAAAAAAAAAAAAAAAGACTTACACCTTAGTGACAGAACAGTAAGAGAAACCTTTAAACCAAAGAGACAACAAAGTTAGATTTTTAAAGATTATACCACTGTACTGTATTTAAAGCAATTTTTAATTTGTTGCCAATATTTTTTTAAACTCACAAGATTCTATATATGCATGTAGATTTTTATCTTCTCTTTAAAATTAGAGGCTCTTGGCAACATTGAATTCACATTCTTTCATGGAACAATAATGGGCATGAGCCAAGTAGTCTTCTTTCCTTGAACGTGCATGCATTGTCTGGTTCTTCACAGTCCCAATCACTCCCCTTTGTCTTGGACCTTGAATGCATCTGGTTCGCACATTTATGGTTTCTTTCTACCCCCTTAGGCATTCACAATTCTATAATAAGATCAATTCCCCTTATATATTTCTGAGACTCTATGATCAATTCCCCCTTCCCACCTCCCCATTCATCCAGCACCACACAAAGCCCAGCCAGGGAATGCAACATATTACATCTTGATATAAATATGATTACTACATGAACATATAATAAGTTATGGATAAATGTATAATCTGGTCAAGTATATATGCCAAACACTTATTTTAAAATGAGAAGAAAGATTTTTTCAACCATTCACTTGACTTCCATTCTTTGAACCAGCTGTGGAGCCTTGAGCAAGTTACTTGGGCCAACTGGGCTCCTATTTTTTCAACTGTGGGATGAAGAGGGTACAACTAATTCCAGGGCTCTGTAATTACATGTGTTCAGTCCAATAACCATACGTTCTCACATCAGGAGGGTTGATCCAAGGAATGTAAGACAGGCCCTCACATTTGGGAGTTTATGATCTAGTGGGGGAAAAAAAGCAAAAGCATAGAAAATGGAAAGCATCACAAAGCAAAGGGAGCTCTGGGGCCTCTATGCTCAGAATAGTGGGATCTTACAGTCAGAAGGTGACTAAGAGAAACTTTTCTCTCCTCACCAACATCTTCAGCTAACTACCTCCTCTTCTTCCCTTGAAATAAAATTCAGCTCACCTCTCCCTCTCCTGAAGCCCAAGGCTGGGTGAATTGATGCCCTCCACATGTGTCCCCACAGCTCTGCAATGTCTTTGTTTATTGGTCTGTCTCCTCCACTGTTCTGGACTCTGAGGGCAGGAAATGTAATACACATTTGTCTTTTCTCTTTTCTTTTCTTTTCTTTTTCCTTTTCTTTCTCTTCTCTCTCTCTCTCTCTCTATTTTTTTTCTATAACAACACTCACTTCATGGCGAACCATGCTGGCACCTCATTCCATGTGGGTGGTTGATAAAGATTTTCGTCATACACATTCTTCCTCTGGTAGGCAAGTAAAATCAGGTCAGATTCTTTCTTCAGGAGATTTTAAACTTAAGGGAATTAACAGAATATCAAAAGAGTTTGAAACTGAATCATTCTTCCAGCAGAGTGCATTTTTTCCTACTTCCATTATCCATTGACCTGTTCCTGTTCCTCTCTTCCCTTGGATGTTCAGTCCTTCCTTGACTTTGCAAACTCCTCAATACTTTACTTAAAAAAAAAAAAAAAGTAAAAGAAAGAAAGATGGCTGGGGCCATTTCTGTAAAAATCAAGGATTTTATCTCATTCTGGGATCAAATCTTTTTCAACTTTGCTATCAATTACAAAGTCTGGCATGTGGTAAATTCTGGGGACAAAATACTAAATGTTTATTCAGTGAATAAATTCCTCATCAATGCTAACTTTCATTCTGTAGCATTCCTGACAGATAACCATCTCTCCTCTTTATGCTAGAATGCCATCAACTTCAGAGGGCTCAGCATCTCACTAGGCAGCTCAGGCTATTTGGAAAATTTTCCCAAATGAATTCTATCACATATCCCCAGTTGTTTGAAAGTTCTTCCTAAATGAGTAAAAATCTTGCTCACATTAACTTTCCCCCTACTATTCCTTGTTCTTTGCTGGGACCATGAGAATTCTTCCATCAGATAATGTCAGAGTCAAGGCTAGCAACATCTACAGGGTTTCACAGCTTGCTAAGAGGTCTCTAAGGGATAATAATATCCCACATTTGAAAGGCAAATAACACCTAGAGGGTTTTCAAAGCTCTTTCCCAACCATTAGGTAATTTATTCTCACAAAAACTCTGAGACACAGATTGCTGTGGGATTACTAGTCTCCATTTTACCTATCAGGAGACTCTATCCCAGAAAGATTGTATAATGTTATTTTCCAGGTCACACAGTTAATAAAGGGCAGAGTTAAGACTCAATGCCTGATCTTTATGGCTTAATTCTCTCACCCCCTCAATTGTACCATGGGTCCCTTACCACAAGGTTATAATAGTCATCTCCATGATGAAGATATGATTTTAAAGGGATTTACTGCTCCAGCCACTCTGCTGCAGGTCAGCTTAAATACTTGCTTGACCTCCTCAATTATCTAAGAGAGGTATGATTATTTCTGTTTCACAATTGAAGACACTGAGGCTCAGAGCAGTGAAGAGACTTGCCCAAGGCCACTAGGTAATAAATGTCAAAACTGACATTGAACCCAGGTAAAAAAGACAGACATCAGTCATACTAGGAGTTGGCTCATGCTGTGTGAGCAGCCTAGCCCTGTACCACAGAAGCCACCATTAAGTCCCATTTTGATCTTTCTCTCATGTGAGTTTTTGGACCTACACTTTCAGCAAGGACAATAGCCATTTCCTTACCCACTATCCCTGAAACTCCTGAGGCCACTTTGTTGCTCTCCTCTCTCAAATTCTAAAGTCTTTCTCTGTCCCTCTCCCCACATAATTACATTAACCATTCACAAAGTTTGGGTGAGATCTTTGGTTGCTGAATGACTTATGGGGAAAGAAGGAAGACTGGCTACACACACAAGAAACATTCAGGTCATTTTTATTTCTCCATCCATGGGCAGCATCAGCCTAACCTGGAATGTGCATCCCACAGCTGCATTAAGACCAATAGGAAACATCTGTATTCTGTTACAGTTTCTCCCTTAGACAGCACCCCCCTACCACCACCAAAGGCATGGTGTTTTCTTAAAGTTCATCTGCAAGGTTCTGTTCTCAGCACTGATAACACTGTAAAATAATGGTAAAGTTAATTATTGGCAAATTAAAATGGAAGTGCTATCTAAATTCTTAGGACATCCACATTACTATAAAATGAGTTTATTGTGATCAAAACGATTAATGACATTTCAGTAAATACCAGAGAATTAAAATCCTGAATACCAAGAAGGTTAAAGTCTTATCATCATTAGAGTACATCAAAGAAAAAAGTGAGTCCTCTCCTTATCTGCTTACATTAGGGAAAAAGACACAGAGCAAATAAAGAAAATCATTTGAATCTTGGCAAATATTGAAATCTAGAGGCTCATTTTCTTATTTATGTAGCATTTAGAAGCAATACATATTGTACTGGAGGAAAAACAATAGCTCATGTGTAATTTAAACAAAATAGACAGACCAAAAGAACAGAATTGAAAGGCCAAAAATAGACCCACGCATATCATAACATTTTAGCATATAATGAAGAAGGTATTTTAAAACTGGGGAAAAGGATAAATATTAAATAAAGGTATTGGCACAACTGGTTCATCATTGGTTGAGGGAAGATAACTACCTTATATCTTACCCCTAAATATAGTCCAGAACAAAAAAAGTAGATAAAAATACATATGTTTGGCTGGGCGCGGTGGCTCACGCCTGTAATCCCAGCACTTCGGGAGGCCGAGGCAGGTGGATCACCTGAGGTCAGGAGTTCGAGACCAGCCTGACCAAAATAGTGAAACCCTGTCTCTACTAAAAATACAAAAAATTAGCTAACACCTGTAATCCCAGCTATAGGCTAAGGCAGGAGAATTGCTTGAACCTGGGGGTGTGGAGGTTGCAGTGAGCCGAGATCATGCCATTGCACTCCAGCCTGGGCAACAACAGCGAAACTCCATCTCAAAAAACAAAAAACAAACAAAAAAACCATATGTTTATCATTTCAAAAAGAGAAACCAGAAAAGGAGAAATTAATAAACTCAGTAATATTTAATTTAAACCAAATGAAAACATAAGTAATAACCTGGAGAAAATATCAACTATACTTTGGAAAGATAAAGGATAATATCTTTGATTTTTTTATATGTAAATGATATATTTGATATATAAAGAGCTTCTACCAATAAAGAAAAAGACAAGCTCTCTGATATAAAGAGGCTGGGCACAGTGGCTCACCCCTGTAATTTCAGCACTTTGGGAGGCCAAGATGAGCAGATAACTTGAGGCCAGGAGTTTGAGAACAGTCTGGCCAACATGGAGAAACACCATCTCTACTAAAAATACAGAAATTAGCCAGGTGTGGTGGTGCATGCCTGTAGTCCCAGCTACTCAGGAGGCTGAGGCAAGAGTATCACTTGAATCCAGGAGGGGGAGGTTGCAATGAGCCGAAATCATGACACTGCACACCAGCCTCAGCAACAGAGTGAGACTCTGTCTCAAGAAGAAAAAAAAGCAAAAGACTTAGAAAAGAAATAAAAGTAGCCAATGCAACTATGAAAATATTTCCCCTTCAATAGGGGGAAAATAATGTAAGCTAACATAACAATACACTTTTTATTTTGGTGAAAATTTTAAAAACCTTATAGTAAGCAGTATAGGAGATAAATAGACCCTCTTAGACCCTCCTGAAAGAGCACAAATTGGCCCAAAATTTATGAAAGGCAATTTGGGCCAAAAAATAAATTATATACTATTTTAGTTTGCTAGAGATATCATAAAAAATAACCCAGACTAAGTGGGTTAAACAACAAAAATTTATTTTTTATGGTTCTGGAGGCTAGAAGTCCAAGATCAAGCTGTCTGCAAGTCTGGTTTCTAAGGCTTCTCTCCTTGGCTTTCAGATGGCAACCCTTTTGCTGCCTCTTCACGTGGTCTTTCTTCTATGCACACCCACGCCTGGTGTCTGTTCCATTTCTTATAAGGACACTAGTCATATTGGACTATGGCCTGAACCTTATGATCTTACTTAACCTTAATTATTTTTTCTTTTCTTTTATTTATTTATTTATTTATTTATTTTGAGATGGAGTCTTGCTCTGTCACCAGGTTGGAGTGCAGTGGTGCGATCTTGGCTCACTGCAACCTCCACCTCCCGGTTTCAAGCGATTCTCCTGCCTCAGCCTCTCAAGTAGCTGGGACTACAGGCACACGTCACCATGCTCAGCTAATTTTTTTGTTTGTTTTTTGTATTTTTAGTAGAGATGGGGTTTCACCATGTTGGCCAGGATGGTTTCAATCTCTTAACCTCGTGATCTGCACATCTTGGCCTCCCAAAGTGCTAGGATTACAGGTGTGAGCCACCGTGCCTAGCCCCTTAATTATTTTTTCAAAGGCCCCTTCTTCAAATACAGTCATGCTGGGGGTTAGGGCTTTACCATAGGAATTTGAGGGTGGGAAGGAACACATTGTAGTCCGTAACACACACACACACACACACACACACACACACACACACACACACACACCCCACTCACATATTCTTACCCTATGACCAACAATTTCACTTCTAGAATATGATTCAGAAAAGCAAACAGACCACAAAGGCAAAAATCTGATCCTAAAGTATACATACATCTCATCCTAGATTCTGTTTTCTAACCTGAATTTTCCATTTATGCAAAATTGGTTAATTCAGTACTGAATCAAATTCTTTAGAGATGAGAGCCAAGAATTTATTTTTTTAAATTTAACTTCTGATACATAGCCAGGTGACGGTGAAATTGCTTTGTAAATGACTGTAAAATAGGTAAGATTCTGTTGTCTGAACCTGCCATGAAAATGCCAGCGTCCCTTGAATGCAGCGACTCTCAGGGAAGGGCCGCACTGCCTAGTACGCATTCCTGAGCTGTGAAGTCAGACAGATGTGGCTGGAATTCACTCCATTCCTTATTGGCTGTGTGACCTTGGGCAAACCCTCTACCCTCTCTGATGCTCAGTCTCCATTATCTGAATAATGAGGAAAACAATACCTTTTTGCAGAGTGGTATAATAAGATTTAGAGATAAATTAAGAACAGGACCTGGTGACTGGCCCATGTGAAATGTTCAGAAAATCAATATTATCTCCTTATGATATCACCACAAATGTTCAGGAAGGAATGGACCAGCCAAAATTCATAAAGGCAGCACTAAGGTGTGGTAATACCCAAATCAATGTCATTTTAGGGAAGTTGACATTCTGACTGGGGTCAGTGTATCCTAGAGCAATGGTACAGGGTTCTGAGGCAAATGGATCTCGGTTCAAATCCTGAAACTGCCAACTAAGTGGATAAATCTAGGCAAGTAGCTTGACTTTGTCAGCCTCAGTTTCTTCATCTGTAAAATGGGGTTGATAATATCTACTTCACAGCATCACTATTAGGCATAAATAAAATAACCCAAGTATGATGCTTTTTACAGTGTCTGCATGTATACTTCTCAGTAAGCAGAATTTATTATTTTTTGCCACTACCAGTGCACATCTGCCTCAGACAGGTGTGCAAATGTCTGCAGTGTCAGAGGCTCTGGGGAAACCGTCTAGAGCAAAACCTCCAATGAGTAGGTGTAGCGGAGTCTTTCATTCTTTAGAGAATCCTGGGAAGGAAGAAAACTAATAAGTTATTTCATCTAATACCTTCTTGCGCAAGGATCCTTAGCTACAAATACACTCTGTGATGTTTTTCTCAGATAAGTTACAAATAAGCCCCAACTTGCCTTGAAAGGATTTCTGCAATCTAATAGGATGAGGTGTTAGTCTTGATACTGTGAAATCCCTTTAGCAGAAAGCCTGGGGCTAGCAGTGGGGCCAGGCTCTTCCTGAGTGTTGGCACTTAAGGAGGCAGATAAGGGAAGATTTCCAAATAGGAACATCTGGAAATGGAAAAGAAGGACTCTGAGGAGAAAGAGCACTCATTTTTCAAGGCTGCCTTAGGCTATGTCTTCTGGGAAGCCATCTCTGGGCAAAAGAATCATGGATTTGAGATGTGACACACAGGATTTTAACAAATGAAGCCACCAGGTCTGTTTGTGGAGCACCCTGGGTTTACTTCTCTCCTCAAGGACTTTAGAACCGGATTGAGAGCCCAGCCAGTCAGGTGACTGTGCAGGGTGCCCCCATTTGAAAAGCAGCAAGGCCTCATAGAAAAAAAAAATGGAAATATTATTCCAATTAACACAGATGCCACGTGGGATTCTTGATATGACTGATGAAATTTAAATTGGTTGCCACATTAGTGAGGAGTCTTCAGGTCATAGACAATAGAAAACCAAGTCAAACTAGATTTTTTTTTTTTAACAGTGGTAAAATACACAGAACATAAAATTTTCTGTCTGTAGTAGACAGCTTGGGCTGCCAGAATAAAATATTACTTTTAATGGCAAAAACCACAATTACATTTACACCAATATAATACAGGCTTGTTGGCTAAAACAACACAGATGTACTTTCTCACAGTTGCAGAAGCTGCAAGTCTAAGATGACGGTGTTAGCAGTGTTAGTGTCTGGTGAGGGCTCTCTTCCTGGCTTGTAGGTGGCCACCTTCTCGCTGTGTCCTCACTCTGTCTTTCCTCTCTGTGTGCATGGAGAGAGCTCTGGTACTCTTCTGACCTCATTTAACCTTACTTGCCTCCTACAGGGCCCTGTCTCTATATGTAGTCACACTGAGGGTTGGGGCTTCAATACATGAATGTTGGAGAGACACAGTTCAGTCCATAACACTGTCTTAACCATGTGTAAGTGCACAGTTCAGTGGCATTAGGTACGTTCACATTGTTGTGCAACCATCACTACTCTCCATCCACAGCACTCTTCTTATCTTGCAAAACTGAAACTCTGTACCCATGGAAAATAATGTACCATTCCTCCTTCTCCCCAGCCCCTGACAGCCTCCAAACCACCATTCTACTTTCAGGACCTGTGGATTTGACTTCCCTAGGTACTTCATATAAGTGGAATTATGCACTGTTTGCCCTTTTGTGGCTGACTTATTTCACTTGGCATAATGTCAAGGTTCATCCATGTTATAGAAAGTGTCCGAATTTTTTTGTTTTTCACAGCTGAATAATATTCTACTGTACATGTAGACCACATTTTCTTTATCCATGCATCCATCAATGAACACTTGGGTTCTTCCACCTTTTGGTACTGTGAATAATGTTGCTGTGACCATGGGTGCACAAATCAAACTAGTTTTTAAAAACCATACATGGAAGTTTATGATTGTGATTATGGCAATGGCTTCTTGATAAGTGTACACAAATGTTAAAATTTATCAAATAGTATACTTTACATATATGCAGACAATAGTATGTCAATTATTCTTCAAGATAGCTATAAAAGACGCACAGAAAAAGGAGGATTATTTTTTGGCACACAGGGAACTTCAGGACAGCAGTGCCTGTCATGAAGGCCCAAATGACATCATCAGGATTTTAAAAAAAGGGTTCCATCAGTGGACACTCTGCTTTACTTTACTTCTGTAAGGTCAGCTTTTGCTAAATAGCGACACATATGTGGCACAACTCTTGGCTAACCTCGTCTTTACAACTAGGAATCTTAGAGGGGAGAGAATGCCATATTCCCAAAAGTTCTAGCAGAAGTCTGAGCAAATGCTCTAATTGGTCAAACTCTGAGCCAATCATTATGGTTACGGAGAAAGCTGTCCTCTAACTGGCCAAGCCTGGGTTGTATGCCTTGCCTATGATGGATAGGAAGGATGAATACCATGAACTACTCAGAATAGGTTCCCCTCAAGAAAGAGGGATTCTGTTATCAGAAGATGAAAGGCAGGCAAAACTGAAGATGAATATTACTGTCCTACTCCTCTGAAAGAGACTGACTTCCCCTTACATGGAAATAAAAGTACACAACTTGCTAATGACCACTTGCCCCATAGGGTATTCTTGTGCTCTACATATGAAAGCTATGAAAGATTTCCAAATAGGAACATCTGGAAATGGAAAAGAAGGACTCTGAGGAGAAAGCACACTCATTTTTCAAGGCTGCCTTAGGCTATGTCTTCGTCTTTGGGCAAAAGAATCACGGATTTGAGACGTGACACGCAGGATTTTAACAAATGAAGCCACCAGGTCTGTTTCTGGAGCACCCTGGGTTTACTTCTCTCCTCAAGGACTTTAGAACCGGATTGAGACCACAGCCAGTAGGGTGACTGTCCAGGGTGCCCCCATTTGAAAAGCAGCAAGGTCATAAATCTCTTCATCACCCTCCATGGACCATGAGACCAGCCAACTAGGAGTCACCTGAAATCACCAGCCAAATGTCAGCTGAAATTCTGAAACAGAATAATCCTAAGCTCAATGCTATTTACCCAGGAAAAATGATTTCTTTTGTTCTAAATTTTCAATCCAAGACGTTTAGGGGATCAGAAAAATCACAATTCTATTTATTTATATACTTATTTATTTATTTATTTAGAGACAGAGTCTTGCTCTGTCACCCAGGCCGGAGTGCAGTGGCGCCATCTCGGCTCACTGCAAGCTCCGCCTCCCGGGTTCACGCCATTCTCCTGCCTCAGCCTCCCGAGTAGCTGGGACTACAGGCGCCTGCCACCACGCCTGGCTAATTTTTTGTATTTGTAGTAGAGACGGGGTTTCACTGTATTAGCCAGGATGTTCTCGATCTCCTGACCTCATGATCCACCCGCCTCAGCCTCCCAAAGTGCTGGGATTACAGGCGTGAGCCACCACACCTGGCCGGAAAAATCACAATTCTAACACAATTCCAAGTGTTAGAATTACATGTTGAATATAGCTGTTGATTTTTAAAAATCCATTTCTACCCACTTCCATTAAGTAAATACTGAAAAACTGTATTTTGAATATAGTTGTTGTTTTTAAAAAAATCTGTTTCTACCCACTTCCATTAATTATTTTAGATTTTTTAGAATTATTTAGAATAATTATTTAGATTCTAAAATTTTTTTTAGATTCTAAATTTTTTTTAGATTCTAGATTTTTTTTAGATTCTAAATTTTTTGGAATAATTATTTAGAATAATTATTTTAGAAAAGTCATTGTGAAAGGATATCAGCTTTTTTGGGCCCCCAAATCTCTCAATCTAACCCTGGTCCTGGGGCTATCTCTAGGTTAATTTAGAGCAAAGAAAGGAAAGTGAGCACCTGCTATGTGGTAAGCAGTAGACGTAGCCTTGTCCACAAAGAATCATGTATACTCTCCTTCTCTGGGAGGCTTAGAGATGTGGGATAATTTGTCCAGGGTCACACTTGAAATGAGCAAGTGGCTGTCCTAAGACTCAATTGCAGGTTCCTCTGGCTCCAAATCCATGCCTTGTGATATGGTTCAGATCTGTGTTCCCCCCCCACCCCCCAAATCCCATATAGAATAATAATCCCAGTGTTGGAGGTGGGGTCTGGTGAGAGGTGATTTGATCCCTGGTGTGGTTTCTCTTGAAACCATCCCCTCAGTGCTATTCTCATGATAGTGAATGAGTGAGTTATCATGACATCAGGTTGTTTAGAAATGTGTAGCACCTCCCCACCTCTCTTCCTCCTCCTCCGGCCATGTAGGATGTGCCTGCTTCCCCTTCCCCTTCCGCCATGATTGTAGGTTTCCTGAGACCTCCCCAGAAGCCAAGCAGATGCTGCTATGCTTCCTGTATAGCCTGCAGAATTGTGAGCCAATTAAGCCTCTCTTCTTTATAAATTACTCAGTCTCAGACATTTCTTTATAGTGATGTAAGAACAGACTATACACCTTGGTTTTATTTGTTGTTTTTTTCTATGCAAGCCCTCCACTTTCACTGTCCTTTAACAGGTTCTTGTTCTGCCTTTGTTAGGCTGATTCTCTAGGTATCACTGGGAGGCATAGACCCTCTCCTTGCAGAACTCCAAGGGACACCATTCGAACATTCTTCTGAAAGTCCCCTGTTGAGCTGTGGTGGAGCTCTGCCATGTGTAGTTATTGTTAGGAGGTTTGGCATTGATTCCAAATTCCTAAACATGGCCTGGCTAACTGCTACTCACCTTCAGGTGTTATTTTAATTGTCACTTCCCTGGGGAAGATTTCTCTGTATCCCTGATGGGGGATTAAGTCACCATTTTGTTTACTCCGAGCACCTGAACATAAGATTGTCTTCCCCAGCACTTAGCACAATTAATAATTAATTACTCATATTATTATGTGTTTAATGGCTGTCTCTATTTATGCATCCATTTATGGATTTTTTTTTTTAAAGAGCCGATTACATGCCTGCCAGGTGCTTACTGTCTGAAGCCCTGGGGCTAGAGCAGTGTAGGAGTAGGAGTCCTGGGTGGACTGGGATGTGGTCTGTCTTCCTCCCCATGTATCCTCCAGCCCAGCCAGTGCCTCACCTAGAGCAAGAATTGAAAGAAGGAAGAAAAAAATGAAGAAAGGATACAACAATATTATTATGTTTCAGCCATATTCCATCCCCTTCCTTTGTGGGCTCTTAAAAGGCTGAATCTACTCCTATTTATCTCTGAATCTCCAGCACCAAACACAGCGCGTGGATAGAATAGGAGCTCAAAAATTACATACACTATTTAATGAATCAATGAATGATTCAACCAATCAATTTAATTTGGCATATGCCTTCCTTGTAGGTGTGCCCATTAATTACTAATTACCAATGTTTACATTCCAGTGCCTAACCATTTTTTTGCTGGCTTCTATGAACTCTCTGGGATGAGAGAATTGGTTTCTCAAATGACTTCCTGCATAAATTAGCCCATCTGAAAGTGAGTGTTTATCCCAGGCCCTTTGAAATTCACATCATTCGCACCAACACCCCCGCTCAGCTCAGACAGTTCTTTAATTCCAGTCACCTGGGATTTCTTCCTACCTTTGTTGCCAGCCTCAGCCTAACGCCACTTATCTTATCCACCTGGATTTACATATCAGAAAGGCCTAATCAAAGCCTGCCTGATTGTCACATCCACCCTGGTTACAAATCTGCCATCTAATCAAGAAGCCATACAGCAAATCAACATGCCCTTCTTTCTGAAATCTCTTGCAGAAAAATGGGAGAGCAGGAGTCAGAGCTGTGAACAAGGACAGCAAGAGTCAACCAGGGGAAAAATTCCCTTCCTAGCTGTGTAGCACTGGGAAGAAACGGACAAGGCAAAATGCTTTGTCTGCAGTTTGATACAACAGTGAGTGTGGGAGAAAAAAACTAATGAGCACAAAGTAACACATTTCTAAACTATGGTGCCTAATGGTACCATCTTAAGATTCTCTGGGCCCACAAGGCTACGAAGTTAGAATCAGAGATCCTTTATTTAGTCCAACACCTGCAAGGTACATTTTATGAGCTAAGTCAGGTTCTGAGAGATGAATAGCTAACAATAACAGGTAACTTCTACTGCACCCTTAGAATGGGCCAGCCTTTTCAGGCATGATCTCATTGGGTCCTCACAGCTAATTTTTTCTTTAATACAGAGAAGAAAAAAGAGACTTAGCAAAGCCATTTTCCCATAACCATAGAGTAAGTAAGCCATGAACCCAGGACATAGACTTAGATTATTTGTTCATTCAGCAAACTAATTTTTTTAAGTCTCCTGAATGGCACATCTTAAACTTTAAAATATGCATACAAGCCACCTAGAGATTTTTAAAAATGTATTTTCTGATTCATTAGACCTTGGGTATGTATCCACATTTTTATTTATTTTTTAGTTTATTTTTATTTTTATTTATTTCTTTATTTTGAGACGGAGTCTCGCTTTGTCACCCAGGCTGCAGTGCAGTGGCACGATCTTGGCTCACTGCAAGCTCCACCTCCCAGGTTTACGCCATTCCCCTGCCTCAGCCTCCCGAGTAGCAGGGACTACAGGTGCCCGCCACCACGCCTGGCTAATTTTTTGTATTTTTAGTAAAGACGAGGTTTCACCATGTTAGCCAGGATGGTCTCGATCTCCTGACCTCGTGATCCACCCGCCTCGGCCTCCCAAAGTGCTGGGATTACAGGCGTGAGCCACGGCGCCCAGCCGGTATCCACATTTTAAATAAGCTCCCTGGTGATGCTGCCCATGCACAGACCACAGATAATCCTGACTCCGTTACTCCTTTGCTGTGTGCCCCTTGGCAAATTACTTAATTTCTCTGAGCCTCAGTTTCCTCCTTATAAAATAGAAATGACACTAGAACCTGTCTTGTGGGTGTATTTAAACAGTTAAATGACATACCCTATATAAAGCTCTTAGCATAGTCTCTGGCCTACTCAGCAAGGGAGAAAGCAAGCAGCAAGTGTCAGATCTTATGATTTTCATATAATCCATACTGGGCACTGTGCTGGGAATACAGAAAGGAAAAGACACCCTCCCAAGGAGATGCCATCTAGCAGGGAGGCTGGTGGGCTGGCTGTATGGGCAGTGACAGGGGCAGCTCAGAAGACAACTTACTAGCCTGAGCATGGCAATCAGAGAAAGCTTCCGAGAGACAGTCTTATTTCTGTCACCCCAGTCCACATGAGGGGAAAAAAATCAAGATCGAGTGGCCAGTTGGTGCAGGACACTGCAACAGAGCAGGTTTACATCCAGGGGCTCAGCAGCCTTTAGGAGCTGATATGATCGAAGGTCAGCTTCACCAATTCCTGCCAAGACTCTTGCTGAGCATTTCATGAGGTCTCAGATTCCCCCTTCCAGGTTCCTGACAGCCATTTGGTTTCTGCCAAGACTCTCAACTCCCTTATATATTAACACAACCTTAAGCCTTTCTCCTGAGTCCCTCCAGGCATGTTTTTATTTTTTTTCTGCACCCCTCTAGCCTTCTAAATTCTACCAGCCACCAAGACCCACCATAGAATTCATACCTGCTAAAAGTGAGGGTTGGTTGCATTTTAAAGCCTTCATTATTAGAGCTGATGCTTACCGGTTGATTTGAGCTTCTTCTTTTTTTTTTTTTTCTAGGAATGAAGCTTAATAATTTTTTTCTATAATTGAAAAACCAAGCTAAAGTGAAATGACCTATGAGCAAGTGGCAGAACCTGTACTAAAAACATATTTCCTTATGCCCAACAGGGCTCTCTCTCTCACAACCCTCTGTTAGAGAAAAAAAGCACAAAGCAGGGCTACACACTCCACTCTCCCTTCCCTAAGGAATCTCAGAAAGCTGATGAATGCATTTGGCATCCTCTCCAGAAGTGCTGGAAATAGCCGTTATAATGCAGGGTCTGGGCTTGGAATTCCACAGCTCTCCCCACGTGGGACCAAATCGACTCTGTCACTGACAAGCAGCAGCGGGAGCTCGAGTAAGTTATAAAATACTGCTGAGCCTCAGTTTTCTAAAATGTAAAATGGAGATAATCGTACTTACTGACAGTTGGGTGTGATGATCCAGTATGATAATATATGTAGAACACCTGGAGAGCAGGTGCTTGCCTGGTCATGGGGCATTTCAAGGGTTTTAAGCAAAGTCACTCATTCCCCAGTTTAAAACTTTTGGTAACAGGCTGTACATAGCCCTGAGGAGGCACATAGCCTGAGGTCCCCAGCCCGGTGCCTGTAGCCCTTTGTAATCTGCACTCTACTCTCCCAGCCTCATTGCTCAGATAGCTCCTCCTGACACTCCATTCCGCTCTCCAGCTTTGCAAAGAAATTTCCAGCTTTCTAAGCTCCACTGTTCTGTCTTCACTTTGGACTGGTGCTTTGCCAGGAGTGTTTGCTAATTCTCTTTCTCCATTTCCTCAACACCTCATGTCCTCTGGCCCTCTAAAGCTCATTTTTCGGGTCTCAGATCAGGTCTCACATTTGATACCTTCTCGAGGAAGTCCTGCCCCACCTCACCCCATCACCAGGCCATGTCTCTGTGCCCCCTTAGTGATCCTACTAGACTGGGGAGCAACTCACTGTGTTGTGCCATTGTCTACTCTTTTGCCATGTCTGCATCCCCCAACAGGATGCAAGCTCAGTGCAGACAGGAGCTACATCTGGGGTCTTGTTCACCATCATCTCGCTCACACATTCCAAGGCTTGGTACAGAGTAGGAACTCAAATAATAGCTGTAAATGGAATCGATCAGAATAACAATAACAGTCTAGAGAAAAATAAAAAATCTCACCACTCCAGGGCGAGCAAGACAAATGGGCTTGTCCCATTGTTGAGACGGAAAGCTTTACACAAATAATTTCATTTCCAGCCTTTCTAGAACAAAGCAGGACTTAAAATAAAATCAACCAGCTACCAGGTGCCTGGGAGCAAGGGTACCATAGCCAATGCTGCTTGTGGGTCAGGAAACTACCAGAATCCAGCCTTGTCAATGCAAAATGCTTAGAGCCCTGGGGGGTCGGGATGGGTTAAGGCAGGGCCTCTTTGAACCACAGAGAGGAAGCCCCTTTCTAAATCCCAGTCACTGAAAGCCAGTGCCTTCCTTTCCTAGCGCCTATAGAATTGAATTAGCATAAGCATTGTCATGTAATGAGTTGTCAGCCTGAAGATGTAATTATTGCAAAGCAGCGAAAAATTTCAAAAGTTGAGCTTTAATGGAAAAATGAGATGGGAGCTCTGGCATTCAAGTATAAAACAAACTTTTTAATATTCATTCCTCCTGCACTCTTGGAAATTCACCTTCAGAGCGCCAAGGTGAACAGGGGGAAAAAAGTTCAATAATTTTCAAATCCTAATTATAATTCATCACAGGTGGTTAAACAAGGCTGTGGGTATTTGTTGCTCACCACTTGTTTTTTTCTTACAGTGGACATTTAATTTTAATTAAAAAGAGAGTTTTTTTTTAAATGATGCCTAGTGCTATTTTTCCTTTTCCATGCAGAGAGACTCAATTTTTCAATTTGCCGATATTATAAGATAAAAAACACTGCATACATGTTTATGCCTTGTATTTTGATGGGGTGGGAGGCTATCAGTTCATCCACCTTTAGGGTCTCTATACTTCCCGAGAGAGTCAATCCAGACTCCACAGACTGCCTTTCCAGATCTCCATAATTGAGCTAGCATTTACACTTCTGAAATTTCTAAGCTTCAGCTTCTTTATTTGAAAAATAGGGGTCAGGTGAGTGGCTCTCACCTGTAATCCCTGCACTTTGGGAGGCCAAGGCAGGCAGATCACTTGAGGCCAGGAGTTCAAGACCAGCCTGGCCAACATGTCGAAACCCCTTTCTACTAAAAATACAAAATTAGCCAGGCATGGTGGTAGCTGTAATCCCAGCTACTTGGGAGGCTGAGGTATGAGAATTGCTTGAACCTGGGAGGCAGAGGTTGCAGTGAGCTGAGATTGCGCCTCCAGACTGGAGTCTCCAGCTGGAGACTGCACTCCAGCCTGGGCGACAGAGCAAGACTCCTTTTCAAAATAATTAATTAGTTAAAAAAATGAAAAATGAGGATGTTAATAATGAGACATATTTTGCTATCCATGGTAGGTACTTTGGGAAAGTAAGATCATTCTGTCTACAAGCACTTTATAGGACTGATGACTCACCATGAGACCAAGTTAATTATTACAAGCTCTCCAAATGTTATTTGTTGTTTTTCTTATTGATAAGTATTTGTTAATTAATTCAACAAACACACTATTTTTGTGTGTGTGTGTGTGTACAAGGCACTGTGCTAATTTCCAGGGTTTAAAAAGAGAAAAGAAAATGAACCATGTGTCATCATCTTTCATGATGAGGATTGATCCAGTTTAGACAGGAAGACAGACATGAGAACAAATGGGCCTGATTCCATTTGATTCTTACAGAAATGCTCTGAGGTGTGTAGGAGATAGGATTAGAAGTCTCGTATAGCTTTATAGCTGTGTAATTTGGGGAAAGTCTTTTAACATTTTGAGACTCAAAATTCATTGCATAAAAAAATAGGGTAAATAGTATTGTTTCTACTTTTGATTGCTGTATAAATATTATTTTCCTTTATCATCTTTTCTTCCATAAATCTCCTAATCTGTGCTCAAGTAATACTTCCTAGCTTTTATGTCTATGATTTCCCTTGCCTAAGCACTTTCCACATTTCTGTATCTGGCATACCTATGCTCACCCTTTAAAAGGTAGGATAGATACGATGATCCTTGTGAAGTTTTCTCACATTCACAAGAGAGTTCAGTTTCCTTGATATTGTTCCCATAATATTTCTCTGTTCTTGTCCTGATTTCAGCCCAGATCCTCTGGTATACGATGAGTCACTGACTCATTTTCCTCCTAGGTGTTGAGCTTCCTAAGGAGGTCATCCTAACCCTGCTTGGAAAAATGTTTCTTGGTGAAGGAGAGTTAATGAAAGGATGAGGGTGAGTATGTTAGGATTGCATAGCTGCAAGCAACAGAAATGGATTTTGGTTAGCTTAAATGGAAACACGAACTTACTGGGAAAAGACCAGGTAGTTAGAAGTTTGGCAATGAGGCTGCAGGACCAGGCTTATAGAAAAATGAAAGCTAGGACAGATTAAGGTACCTAAGAGGCAAGAACTGATAGACCAAATTTAGAGGAATCCTTTCCAATGTCTTCCCATCAGTGCTATAGAGCATTCTAGATTTGAATGCTGTGTGTGTGTGGAGGGGAGTGGGGTCTGGGTCAGCCACCCAGAGCACTGAGGGCAGAGCATCTTCAACGTTAGTCCTTCTGACTGCTCCCAAGGGGAAAAAGGAACTTGGGGTGCTATTTCCAAATAGAGGGGGCATGAGTGCTAGGTGGCCCCATATAGCAAATGATCACCACAAACTACATGTGAATAAATGAGGGACTCCCCACAGAGAGGGTGAACATCTTCTGAATAGCCCAGGCTGGAGTGCAATGGCACGATCTCGGCTCACTGCAACTTCCGCCTCCTGGGTTCAAGCGAGTCTCCTGCCTCAGCCTACGGGGCAGCTAGGATTACAGGCATGCACCACCACGCCTGGTTAATTTTGTATTTTTAGTAGAGAGGGGGGTTTCTCCATGTTGGTCAGGCTGGTCGCGAACTCCCGACCTTAGGTGATCCGCCTGCCTCAGCCTCCCAAAGTGCTGGGATTACAGGCATGAGACTTACTCATTTCTGTACCCTGTAGGTGGCACAGTGCCTGTCAGTAAGGGATCCTCTCTATTCATCTTTATTTTGAGATCTGGTCTAGAGTTCTTTTCTGGCAGGCGGTCTTTATTTTCCTATAGCCCGGAAGAGACAACTCTCCCTTGAACACTTAAACTCAGTGCCTTCTATCTACAGCTCTTCTGTCAGATAGCGTGAAGCCTGATCTCATCACTCTGACCATCTAACAATTATCAGTCTTCCTGTTTGATAAATCAATTGAGCGGGGACCACATCAGGCATTAAGGTGTCCCACAACCATCATCCCAGGTGGGCAGGCACAACCGAAGTGCCCTGATCCTGCAGTCCTTTAATTGGGCAAATTTATAGTTGTGCCTTTTACCCCTTCCTATTTTGTATCAGTTTCTGAAGCTTCATTCTCCATTAAGATCAAGTTTACACAAGAGGCTCGAAGCAAAGCAAACTCAAGTCAGATGTTTTTGGATGGTACCCAAAGGCCCTGAAAATTCACAGGTGAAGAGGATTAATTTCATTGCCATGCTTCTGACACACCCCTTTCAAAGTGGTTTAGCACTGCTGTTTAGTAAATGCTATTCGCCTCCTGCTTCTGGTACCAGCCACATTTGCATATTCATCAGAAGTGTGCACACAGTATTAAACCCGACCGTTACCACACTTCTCATTCCCAAATCCCTCTATGAATGCTGATACCTGTTTCTCTAGCTGCAGCCATAATTTTCTCAAGGTCAGCACATGCTGGCGTTTCCCTGGGGAGCTGGGGGCCTCCACTGCCCTGAAGAAGCCATGCGCTGCTGCTTCCTGTCACCTCAATGGGTATGACTCCATAAGACTTCAGTGTGTCTGATGGGAGGTGGTGTTTGTGGAATGCACAAATGCCAGTGAGAAGGCTTGAAGTGAACACTGGAAGTGGAGTCAAAAAGCTGGTTCAAGTCTAGGCTCCAAAACCTGATGCAAGTTGCTTCTAGCCACACTGAGCTTCAACATCCTCATTTGTGAAACCGAAAATAAGTTATCTGTGCTGCTGTGTTTACTCCATGAGATTATGTAGGTGAAGGTGCTGTATCACCTTTAAAATTATGTAGAAAACTAACAGGTTTTGAAATTTATTGCTTGTTTTATTATAAAAGAAAAAAAAAAAAAGAGGAAGCCCATGCTAGCCACATGAAAGAACAGGGGAAACAGAGACAGTCACAGTTTCCTGGTTAGTTCCCAGCTGTTTAAGTTATTCCAGCGGAGATCTCAGACATCATTTTGTAGCAGATACTTCTCCGATGTACTTTTATAAACTACGGACCCACAGAGCCAGAAAATATGGCAATAATAAATACAGTCACTAAGTTTTGGGGTAGCTTGTGATGTCACATTAGAGAACTCCAACATATTCAACCTCTCCAGGTGTTCACTTGAAGCCGCTTCACTAGGGTTCGTGTGTCAGGGAGACATGGCCACTCCTCCGCATGGAGGAAATGGGACTCCATTCTCAGCAAAGAAGTCCCTCTTCAAAAATCCTGTTCCAACCTGTGATAACTGAACTGTTGCATGTTCTTAGTGTTGGTGAGACCCATAGGAGTTGTGTAAACAATTTTTACATATTTTCCTTGCTAGTTGTTACCCAGACCTGAGACCTTACTTGAAATATCCTATCTCTTGTATCTTGGTGGCTTGGACAACTCTTTCCAAATAACATGTGATTATAAAAATAAATAATAAAGATAATCCTTAATAATAAGAATTGCCATAAAGAATATAAAACAGGCTAATGAAATAAAGTTATTTGGGAAGTGGGGTGCACGAACCACTCTGGGGAGATGATGTTTGGAAGAAGAACTTTAAAATGAGAAGGAGACAATGAATCCTGAGTTGAAATAATTTTCTTTCCTCCTATTTCCTACTGTCTTTCCATGCCTAGTGGAGCATCTATCACCGTTGGCCTGCTCCCAGAGTTATTTATTTCTGTCTTCCCAGTAGATTGTGAGAGTCTGGAGGGCAGGAATTATCATTTATCTCCACATTCTTCTAGGGTGTTGGTGTTGCTTGTAGCAGGTGTTCAGTAAATGAGTGTTAAATAAAATGCAAATCATGTTGAGAGTAGATCGGAGGCCTCTGTTTCACATGGCTATTTACCCAGAAACTGTCAAGGGTCTGGCCCTTCAAGGACATACAGTAAACTATAGGAAGAAACCAAATGTGCGACCCATCCTTTACAGCAGTGTTTCAAGGGTTGGCACCAGAGAGAAAATACTGCAGCCCTATTTTAAGTGAAAAAGGCTTTACTGACACATTTTCTTTACTCCAAGTGCAAGTTCCACTTCTTGCCATGGACTGTGTTTTTATGAGAATTCCCTTCCATGTTGCCTAGATCCAACAGGTTTCTTATGATCTTAAGAACAATAGAACAACTGAATTCTTTATTCAGTTAGTATCACTGAACACTGATGTTTTCTTCTAAACACAGTTTAATCCCTAAACTGAAATCCTGATTGATGGCCTTGGGTACCATATTCATGATTTGCATTTTTTTTTTT
The DNA here is from genome assembly GCF_000001405.40 of Homo sapiens. NCBI lineage: Eukaryota > Metazoa > Chordata > Mammalia > Primates > Hominidae > Homo > Homo sapiens. Next base: position 57,605,807 of record NC_000001.11, read on the forward strand.
ATTTTAAACAACCAGTAATCAATTTATTAAGACAGTTGACTTAAGCATCTGCAACGGTGACTTCCACTTCAACTCCTAGCTCAGTACTGATGGAAGTAATCTGCTTAACAATCTCAGAAGGACTGTGCAAGTCAAAGAGTCACTTGTGGATTCTCATCTGGAAACGACCTCATGTCTTAGAACCTTCACCACAAGGAGTTTTTCTTGTAGTGATTCTCAGAATCTTGGTAGGTATTCAAACTGGTCCTTTCCCTTTGATATTCTTTTCCTTTGCTCCTCTGATCAAGTCAGCACATACCATCTCCTGGGATTTTACACTGCAGCTCCTTAAAGTGATGCAAATTTGGTGAATTGCCACCTCCGGCTCCATGAGTGTTTTTCCGGTATTTTTAAAAGTCATGGAAGCTGTGTGGCTTCCTGATCAACTTGTTCCTCAGTGAGAGTGAACAGTGGTGAGCCAGGAGCAGGAGTCGGCGGATGATAGCCCCACACCACTTGCGACCGCATCATCCTCAAAGAGCGATTTGCATTCTTATCTAAAGTTCTTCAGTCAGTCATCCATTCTAATCCTATATATATATATATACACATTATATTATATATATGATATATATTTCATATATAAAATATTTCATATATAATATATATGAAATATATAATACATATGAAATATATAATACATATGAAATATATAATATATAATATAATATATATAATATATAATATATATGAAATATATAATATAATATATTATATATTATATATGAAATATATAATATAATATATTATATATTATATATATGAAATATATAATATATGAAATATATTATATATGAAATATATATTATGTATGAAATATATATGAAATATATATTATGTATGAAATATATATATGAAATATATATGTATGAAATATATTTATATGAAATATATATTATATAAATATATTCTATATATTATATATAAATATATTTTATACATATATATATAGAGAGAGAGAGAGACAGATTTTCACCCTTGTTGCCCAGGCTAGAGTGCAATGGTACGATCTCGGCTCACTGCAACCTCCACCTCCAGGGTTCAAGTCTCCTGACTCAGCCTCCAAGTAGCTGGGATTACAGGTGCCTGCCACCACGTCTGGCTGATATTTTGGTATTTTTAATAGAGACGGGGTGTCACCATTTTGGCCAGGCTGGTCTCGAACTCCTGACCTCAGATGATCCATCTGCCTCGGCCTCCCAATGTGCTGGGATTACAGGTGTGTGAGCCACCATGCCCAGCCTAATCCAATATTTTTCATGATGTGTTGGTGAATCATTAAATCAGTTTGGTGAGTTTTGACTGGAATTTTATTTAAATTAAATTGAATAACAGAAAATATCATAGTCTATCAAAGTTAAAGGTGTGATTTTTTGAGCTGTGTTTGGTTGCATGTGTGCATATACTGGGTCATAGTCCAAAAGGTTTAAAAGTTACTAATGTGAACGTTTCTCCAATTACATTCCCTACCAGTCACACATTTTTCTGTATGACGCCTTCATCTTTTTTGTGCAAACATTAGTTTTCTGTAATGCCCAATGTGACTTAACATGACCAAACTGAATTCTTTATCTTCTCTTCAAACTTGTTTTTCCTTCTGCCTTCCCTATTTTTAAGAGTTATTGTCTACCCAGTCATGTGAAATCTTTTGAATTTGATCTTGGAAACATACCTAAAATGTATTCCTTTGCATCCTATACAAAAGCCTGTGCCCTATGTCAGCCTCATCATCTCTCGCCTGACCATTGCATTGCTCCTACTTTAGGTCTTTCTGGTTTGGGTTAAACACCGCCCAGTTCAAATTTTATTTTACCACTCAAATGAATCTTGTTTATGTAAAGAATTTAGTTGCATCACACACATTTATTTCCTCTTTCTCCCATGATGTCATTAAAATTAAAGAACTAACAAAAAGACAGAGGGGATAATAAATGAGAGAGGGCCCATCAGCACATGAGAGAAGTAAGCACATTTAAGAAAGTCTGAAGGCAGATGGGTGATAGGTCCTGGATTAAACAGTCCAGTAATGACTGTCAGGAGTGGAGTAGATTCAGCTGACAAGCATAGTCACCAGCCAGGCAGAACCACAGAGGGGTCAGCATTCAGATTTGCCAGGTAAGACAGAGCATGCAACATGGGGCAAAAATAACTGCTGGACAGCCAACGCCCTTTCTTCTTCCTCTACTCCCATATGCAGCTTATAATACCTGAAGACCCAGGCATGCACATACCCAGAAAAAATCTCTATACTCTAGGCTACACCTCCCACCCCCTGGGAGATATGACTGTACATATGTGTATACACACACATATATATACATACACATATGACATGTAATATAAAATATATACAAAACAGACTATAAATATATTAAAATTGAATGCACACACAGACACACACATACACAATGTAACCTCTCTGGGTAAGTGTCTTCAGCTGAAAAGTAAGATCACCTCCAGCTCTGACAATCTATGATTTTCTCTCCCATGTGTAAATTTATATCTGTTCTCTGGTCATACAACCAACATGCTGTGAAGATATTAAAAAAAGAGAGAGAGAGAGAGAGAAATGCATTGCCCCCTTGCTTGTGCTTCATCACTGGTATAATTCTAAAAGAATTTCCAGTAAAGCTTTTGAATCCTCATATCTGAAAGCTTGGCAGGCCGTGAGTAAAAACCTGCACTTATCAATAGACTTGAGTTATTCTCCTTTTAATTAATACCATCAAACAAATTAGTATTAAATACTTGTGATATGCCAGATGTTGGGCTAAATACTTATGTGTGGGATCACACTTAGTATTCAAACAACTTTTCAGGTGAACATTATTATTCCCATTACACAGACAGGGAAATTAAGGCTCAGTAAGGTTAAGTAACTTCTCAACAACTCAGAGCTCAGCAAGCTACAAATCCAAGTTTCTATATTAAATCTACCAGGTTCCAAAACATATGTTCTTAACCCCTACATTCTAGTGGCTGGTGGTTAAGCTCTTCTATTAACTTGAAGTCAATTCACTCTGCCTCGGTTTCCTTATCTGTCAAATAGGGGAAATCGTTCACTCTCACCATCTTTAAGTTATTGTGAAGACATGCGGTATTGAGCTTAATTCTGCCTTGATAAAATTATGTATCATAAAAATGCAAGTTATAAATATAAATAGCAATTTGAATGCCTGGGTGTGCCTTACACTCCCCAGTTTAGCCGGGTCCAACTCCCTCTGACCTTATATCAAACCTATTTATACCTTTTGTTCTCAGCATGGCCCCAATAGGCATTTGCATTTGTAATCCCTGGACTAGAGGCTGGAAGCTTTCCTGAAATAATAAATACAGTCAGTTCTCCGTATCTGTGGGTTCTGCATCTGTGGATACAACCAACTGCGGATCAAAAATATTCAGAAAGTAAAATTGATGATCGTATGTGTACTGAACATATGCAGACTTTTTTTCTCATTATTATTCCCTAAGCAATATAGTACAACTATTCGTGTAGCGTTGACATTGTGTTAGGTATTATAAGTAATCTAGAGATAATTTAAAAGATACAGGAGGATGTGTGTATGTTATATGCAAATATTATACCATTTTATATAAGGACTTTGAGCATCAGTGGGTTTTTGTATTTGAGGGGGATCCTCGAGACGAATTCCCCCACGAATACCCAGGGACAACTTTACAATCTAAAAGGGAAAAAAGAGCAGTTCATTAGTTGGTATGCCTTCATGCATTTTCCTTTACTTGCCATTGGCCACATAAATGGATCCCGGTTTCCTCATCTGAAAATTCAGGATAGATAGTCGCTGGTTTTTTAAGATTAAATAAAGTAACATGAAGGCACTTTGAAAATTCTAAAAGGCAAAATAAATCTAAAATGCTATTTTAACAAACAATATATTTGCTAAAGTTTCAGCATTATGTCAAAAAATAAACTTAGAAACACAGACCCCACCATTTTTTTTACACTCCAGATGTTAAAACATCTTGTTTAGTCACTTTAGCATACATCTCAAATTTATGATCACTTTGTTTGAGACAGTCCTGTTGTATTTAAAAAATAACATACTCGACAAATAGAATTCTTCTGGACAGGTACGAAGTTAGCACTATTTGGAAATGGCTGCAGGGATGCATATTTCCTGGGCACCCACTAATTGCCGGGTACTGGACTAGAATCCTCTGCTGGCATGCTGCTCCCTGTGGCTCCTCAGCCCTTGATTCTTGGAGCCCTCTTTCCACTCATTGAACTGTGTTGCTGTTGATCTGTCCTCTCTTCCATACTGAAGACTCTGCAGTTCAAGACTTGCCAGTTATCTTTTCATTCTGAGCACACAGTAGGCTTGTAAGACACTCCTGTTGAAGTGGAGTGAATTCATCTTTTCCACTATATAATAGTAAAAGTAGGTCCCAGTTATTGAGCTTTTAAGTCAAAAGCTTCTGATATGCATTAATAATCATTGATTCTTGCTGAGCCTCACCATGAACCAGGCACTAATCTGAGCACTGTACACATGTTGATTCATTTTAAGCCCATGAGAAAGGCATGATTGTCAGTCTTGATGTACAGATAAGGAAATAAGAGGCCCAGAGTGATTATGGGACTTGCCCAATGTCACCTGGCAAAGTTTTGTTTGACCCCAGCAGTCTGGTTCCAGAACCTAGGCTTTTAACCAAAACTACACTGCCTTTGTATTAGTTCATTCTCACCCTTCTAATAACAAATACCCAAGACTGGGTAATTTATAAAGAAAAGAGGTTTAATTGACTCACATGGCTGGGAAGGCCTCAGGAAACTTACAATCATGGCAGAAGGCACCTCTTCACAGGGCAGCAGGAGAGAGAGTGAATGCCAGCAAGGGAAATGCCAGACGCTTATAAAACCATTAGGTCTTATGAGAACTCACTCACTATCATGAGAAGAGCATGAGGGAAACCACCCCCATGATCAATTCACTTCCCATGAGGTCCGTTTCTCAACATCTGGGGATTACAACTCAAGATGAGATTTGGGCGGGGACACAGCCAAACCATATCAGTCTTGCATGTGATCTGATTGATTTTTCATTTAATTTTCAGAAGTCAGTGCCTTGAGTGCTTAACTTTGCACCCAGGGTTCTAGTTACTTCTGGATGCTTATCTTTCTTTTGGACTATAAACTCCTGGAAGGCAGATGCTTATCTAGCAACCCTCAAGTTTCACTCATGCTTGCTTTTGCACTAGAATAAATCAGTACACTGTTGTTGACAATTCTGCTCAGCTATCTCACTGTTGGCGTGCAGTGGCTTTTTTTTTTTTTTTTTTGCATTTATCTTTCCAAGTGTGCCAGTTTCAGGCCTCCCAAACTCAGGCACCCGGCATAGGCAGGTCTCCAGGTAGACTCCAAGAGTTAACAGGTGAGAGCCACTGCCCTGCTCAGCAGCAAGGTTCCTGCCTTCCCTTTTAGGTAACTCAGCTGAAACAGATCTCTTTCCTGAGGACACTCCCAGAATGTTTATTGTTCTATCACCTCCTGCATCACAGATTCCACAGTACCAGCATTTCTTTTGAGGGAAAAGAATAAAAACATAAGGCAAAGGCTGATTATATGCATAAATCTGAATAGTTATTATTGTAGTGAACAAAGTCTACTTGTCTACAATGAAGTTATTGATAAAATTTGCAACTGTGGCTTAGCCATCTCTCTAGTGTTGCAGGACACCTATCTCATAGTGCCGTTTAGATCCCATGCCTAGATGTCCTCTGAATTCACCCTTTCATCCAAGCCTCCACAGCTAGTACACTGGCAAGCCAAGCAAGTTAACCTTTCCTGGTGTACTTTGACTCTGAGCACCTCTCTCCACCTCCACTGATATCACCCAAACTCAAGCCTGCATCATGCCTGTCCTGGGCCATCTGGCAGCAGCCCCTAGCAGGCCTTGCTACATCTACTCTTGCCACCCCAGCAATCAGATCTCCTAAAGGAATAGTATTTTTGAAAATATTAATCAAGATACCTCATTCCTCTGCTATAAATCCTCTAAGGTCTTCCTATTGCACTTAGAATAAACTCGAAATTCCATACCTGACTTCCTTCATAAGACCCACCCCCCTGCCAACTGTTATGTAGTGTCACTGGCCTCTTTGCTTTTTCAACACATTAAGCTCATTCATGTCTCAGATTCTGTGCATTGCTGTTCCTACTGATTACTCAGCTTCCAGCACCCACACACAGACATCCCCAGGACTCATTCCCTCACTCATTCAGCTATAAATGTCACCTCCTAAGACCCATCTCTTACCTAAAATAGCTCCTGTCTTGCTCTCTGCCTTCATCCTATGCCATTTTCACATATCCATGTTTGGCATGATCTTGTGTGTGTGTGTGTGTGTGTGTGCATGTGTGTGCGTGTGTGTGTGTAAATTTAGTTGTTCACTGTCTGTCCCTGTAGTAGGGTAAATAATGGTCTCAAAGATGTCCACATCCTGTCCTAATCCCCAAAACCTGTGATTATGTTACCTTACATGGTAAACGTACTTTGCAGATATGATTGGATTAGTGCTCTTGGGATGGGGAGACTATTCTGAATTATCTGGGTGGGCCCAATATAATTACAGGGTTCTTATTAAAGGGAGATGCAGGATCAGAGTCAGAGAGAGAAGATGTAAGGACAGAATCAGGGGTCAGGGAAGAGAAAAGATGCTATGCTGCTGGACTTGAACATGGAGGAAGAGGCCACGGGTCAAGGAATACAGGTGCAGGCATTCCTAGAAGCTGGAAAAGGTAACAAAGTGGATTCTAGAGCCTCCAGAAGGAAAATGGGACTGCCAAGATCTTAATTTCAGCCCAGTGAAATGGATTTCTGACTTCTGATTTCCAGAACCTTAAAATAATAAATTCACATTGTTTTGAGCTACTAAGTTTGTAGTATTTTGCTATAGTGACCACAGGAAATGAATCCATCCCCACCCCCCAACTAGAATGTAAACTGTAAACTTTATAAATATAGGGATTATTTCCTAGAATAGTGCTTAGATCATAGGAGGCATTAAAAAAAGGATTTGTTGCATCAGTGAATGAAACCATGAACGGTATGTGTACATGGGTGTCTTCTACATGAGGCTAAGAGTGGCTTGAGGGCAAGGACTGTACCTTATTGCTGTCCACACACCTATTCCCCTTCGTGCCTGACACACAGCAGTCAACACAACTCAGGTGATTTGAAGGAAGTAGCATACATTTGTCAAATTGAATGATCTGGAAATAGTTGATAATGTCATAGTTAAATATGCTTCATAAGTATGTAGTCTTTTACAAGGAAAATTGGAATGTGTGTAATGTGAATATAGCAGCTAGTATTATTTTTATGTTTTTCCCTATCTGAGCTTATAGTAAAGAAGTCCAGTTGTGAATGAAAAGAAACTCAAAGACATACACATTTTAAAATTCTCATTCTGTTTCAGAATTGCTTCTCTAATGAAAGGATCCAGCTTGTCCTCATGATCTGAAAACACCTACCCATGAGGCACTGAGAGCCTACAGCAGGTGGGAGGGTCAGAAGGCCTTGAGCCTCACTCAGCAGCTGCTCCAAGAACCCTAGGCTCTGTCAGATATGTGCACCCCATGTATAAAAGCTGTTTCCCATAGTGTAGTTCGGTTTCTTCACTCTATGGATTAGCTAGGGCCGATTAAGTAACCAATTTATGTACTCAGAGCTGTTTAAATGCATGCTGTGTCTGCATGATAGATGGCGATGTTCTTCTCTGAACCACCATTCCTTCCCCAGGATATTTTCCCCCTCAAAAATAAATACGAAAAAGAGTCTAAAATAATACTGCAAGAGAAACAGGAAATTCAAAACTTTTCTCAGCTAATTCTAACAAAGTCTTAAAAACCAGATGGCATGAATAATTCTACCTGTGCGAGGGCTGACAGAGATGTGGGTCAGAAGCCTGCTGGAAGCTAGGGTGGTACAGCGAAAGGCACAACGGCCTTGGAGTCGGAGAGACCTGGGTTCAAATTCCAGGTGGGCACCTATTAGCTTCAGTCCTGGGCAAGTCAAAGTACTCCTTTGTTCTTTGCTCTAGTAGAAAGGGGATAATAGTGTTTCATTTTCAGGTTGATGTGAAGTTTAGAAGTATGTATCTAAATACCTGTATATCGGTAGCAGGAAATGAGGAGTCACAAACTCAGGTTTCCACAGGGACCTGGCATGTTGCATAAAGGAGAGGCTGTCCAGGTGGACCCGTAATGAATTGGCAAGTATGTGCCCATCGAAAGGGGCAGCTGCTGCTGTGCTGCATCCAGCTGGGAGTGACCATGTGGAAATGAGGGCCCTGGTGTGCCAGAACTTCTCATTTTTCAAAAGAAGCAAGAATGATTATTATTTTTTATGTAAAATCTCTTAAGCTTTCAATGTTCACAGCAAATTCAAAGTTAAAAACAAACAAACAAACCCCAAATTACTGATCAGATCAAACACAACATCTATGAACAGAACCTGGCCTAAGGTCCATCAGTTAATGGTTTGTGCTCTAGATAAATGGTCATTATTATTGCAACTTGGAGGAGCTTTTAGAAACAGAAAGTGTCATACTGTCTTAAAGAAATGCTTTCAGTTTGAAGCACCACTTAATAATACTGGTCCATGATGAAGCTTTCACTGTTTTGTGGTGAAATGAAAAAAATAAGTTTATTCCTCCCTCCCACAAAAGCTAAATTTAATCCATTAAAACATTTGTAAGGAGTAAGTAAGTCCTTTCTTCTTTTGTGATACAGTCTTCTTTCCTTATGAGATGATTGTGACAGTGGGTGATAGGTTTAAGCTGTTTTTCACATCCTTGCTTGGAAAAATTATAGGTTGCCAGTGCTATGTTGGACTCCTTCTCTTTGTAAATTTAGTTTTACTGTTTCTTAACATCCTAGGGCTAGCGACCACTGGTTTGGGGCATTTTTACTAATGTGAATTTTGTTTCCATAGTGGATATTGTAAAAGCTGTTGATTTCTCCTCATTATCCATTTTTGCCTTCTTTCTTTCTTTCTTTCTTTTTTTTTTTTTTTTTTTTGAGATGGAGTCTCGCTCTGTCGCCCAGGCTAGAGTGCAGTGCTGCTGTCTCGGCTCACTGCAAACTCCCTCTCCCGGGTTCACGCCATTCTCCTGCCTCAGCTCCCGAGTAGTTGGGACTACAGGCACCCACCACCGCGCCTGGCTAATTTTTTTGTATTTTTAGTAGAGACAGGGTTTCACCATGTTAGCCAGGATGGTCTTGATCTCCTGACCTCATGATCCACCCGCCTCGGCCTCCCAAAGTGCTGGGATTACAGGCATGAGCCACTGCGCCCGGCCTCTGTCTTCTTTCTTAGTAAGAGAATATTCTTCCAGGCCTGTGCCCTCCAAGAATAAATACTGTATTTTACAGCCCCTTTGCTGTTTCGTGTCCACATGACTAAGTTCTGGTCAAAGGTTAGCAGAAGTATATTCGGACATTTTCTTGAAGCTTTCTTCAACAAATAACTAGCATGCTGTCTTGCTTTTTCTTCTTTCTACATCTGCTACTTGGAACGTGGATGTAATGGCTGAAGAGCCATCCTGAAGGACAGAGCAGGAAGCTGGAAGGAGCCTGGATTCCTGAGGACTTCACAGAGTAGCACTGCCAAATCCACCCTAGGACCATCAACTTCTGACTTATCTGTGAAAGAGAAACAGACTTCTCTCTTATTTAAACCAGTATTATCGTACTACTTGGAACTGTAACTAATCCTAACTGACAACACTGGGGGAAATGTTTGTAGCTAGGTGCTGTCATTTGTACCAAATACTTGTTTGGGATTAATTTCCCATGTGAATCAATAAAAGGGAGAGAGAATTGAGTCAAAGAAAAAAAAGTTCTTTGGAACAGTCTTGGATTTAAAAACAGTCTCCAAGCAATTCTTAGTGATACTGCAAACACAATTAGCAAGCTTTACCAACTGAAAGCATCTTAAGGGTTTACAGTGGAACTACATGTCTTCAGGTCATCACTAACAACTCATGACTGGAGATGACATGTCATGTTCCTACAGGAAGTTCATAATGAAATACTATCGTCATAGCTGAGTGTGAGGGCCCCTGTAAGTACTGAAACAGTGCTGTAAATACCCACAGATGGTCTTACTAGAATAGTAAGGGTACTAACTGCTGCTATCTACAAGCGCCCTATAAGAATGGAGTGTGTCTGAGGGAAGGCACTGTGGCTTTTATTTCTTTACCCCTACTACCTGTCCAGTGTTCTTACTATGGCCCCTCCCTCATTTGCTCACTCACCACTTCCTGGACACCCCGACATTTCCTTTGCTTCTGAATTATGCTGAGCTCATTCCTTCCTCTGGGCTAGTACATTTCCTGTTTCTTCTGTCCAGAGGGATCTTTTCTCAGACCTTCCTGAGAAGACTCTATCTCACTGTTCAGATCTCAGCTCAGATGTTACCTTCTCGAGAAGTCTTTCCTTGACGTATGAAATTTGAATATTTTCCTCAGTCACTCTCAATGGCACTTAACACCATCTGAAATTATGTATTCGTTTCCTGCATATTGAATCTTTTTTTAATGCTTAGAATAAGGGCAAAGACCTTGTCAGTTTTGCTCACCTGGTTTCTCCAAACATAGTAAACACTCAACAGACAGTTGAATGAAAGACTATTTAACATGACACAATTACCATAGGCAATCTGTGGGATTCTACAAGAAATCTATAATGTTCTGTAGGTACTTATAGGAGATCTATAATGGCAGCGCAGGCATTATAGATAATCTATGGTTTCCTACAGATCACCTGCTCTGGGAATATAAATCCTTTCAGATTCTTTTTAAAGGGGCTAAGACCCCCTTTAGGCAATCTGTGATGGCCGTATCTATCCAAATATTATGAAATGGGTCTACAGGGTATTTTGAATTGCTCAATAGAAAAGTGAGGGAGGATATTTCACATACTGCCAGAGTAGGAAAAGCATGACCAAAAGCAAGGTGGTAGGAGAAGTGTCAGAATCCCTGGGGAACAAGGCATCAACAGGACTAGCAGGTCTGCCATGCTCTGAGGGTGGCAGAGGATTGGTAACTAAGCATAGAGCCAAACTGTGGAGGAACCTGAGGGTACGCAAAGGAATTTTGACTTGAGTGTTTCCCTCTGGGCATCAGATTTCTCACCTGTAAATGAGCTGATGTGCTCTATTTAAGGATGCTAACTGCCTAGCCAGTGGACCGTCATTCTGTCACTCTGTGTCAGTAGTGGACATTCTTGGTACCCTGCCCAGACTCCCTTTCCTGGGCTGGTGCACATACTGCCCAGCTGCTGTGAGTGTCAGCTGCTAATGACTGACAGCTGCTCCCTTCTTCCAAGAATAGCCCTCTGCTGAGGAGAGCCACCAGGCTGGGGGTATGAACCATTCCCATCCCCACATCCATAGCCAATGACCAACCGCCAGTGTACGAGAGGTTAGCCCCCTGCCTCAATTCACACTGCAGTGGCCCAGGTTGGTCCCCAGCTGAGACCACATCCTTGTTTAACTTTCTACTCTGCCTTCAGCCTGCTTGTCTCTCTCCCCTTCTGAGAGGCTCCTTACTAAATATTTTCCACAAGTACCCCGTCTCAAGCCCAACATCTAAGGAAGAACCCAAGTTAAGATGGGTCCCTTGGCATACATCACTGCATTGATCAGAACACTCTTGCCCTACAAGCTCAGATGCCATCTTAAAATTGTCACCTCCGCAATTCAAGCAACACTTCCACTCCTTTGACACTGGCATTGGAGAGAAAACCTGTTTGACAAACCCTGAGCTAGAAGATCTCTAAGGTCCCTTGCTTTGCTGACATTTTATAAAATGACACTTTTTAGGTGACTTTAACTTGTGTTGTGAATGAAAATGGGAAAACAGAGAATCAGAGGTACTGAAATCGAAGAAATTTCAAACTCCTTTTCCCAAGACTCACCTGTGCTTGTTTGCTCATTCATGAACATTCTCCTGCCATAAAAGACAAAAGGTACCTGGGTTCTATTTGCCTAGCACAGAATTGGGCACTTGGGACATGCTACCTAAATATCTGGTGATTTCCACACTTACATAACTTCTCATTTTACCTAGAAAAGAACTTCCTGCTGCTTACAAATAAGGGACTATGAGTGTGATGTTAAGAAGACCCACTGAAGGATTTCTGGACTAGAACAAAAACTCCAGGGAAGAGATCTTCTTCCTCAGGAAAAGGGAAATAAAAGATGCACCCTCTCTGCAGACTCCACTGATACAGGAAAGAATATCATACTAAAGGAGAAGAAGACTGGGCGCGGTGGCTCACGCCTGTAATCCCAGCACTTTGGGAGGCCGAGGTGGGTGGATCACTTGAGGTCAGGAGTTCAAGACCGGCCTAGCCAACATGGTGAAACCCCATCTCTACTAAAAATACAAAAATTAGCTGGGCATGGTGGTGCATGCCTGTAATCCCAGCTACTTGGAAGTCTGAGGCAGGAGAATCACTTGAACTTGGGAAGTGGAGGTTGCAGTAAGACAAGATCATGCCACTGCACTCCAGCCTGGGTGGCACAGTGAGACTGTCAAAAAAAAAAAAAAAAAAAAGCAGCAGCAGCAGGCTGACAAGTCTTCCTTTAGGGGTTGGCTGGGAAGTGTGTCAGTAAGTGAGAAATAGGAAAGAAGATCCTGTGGGTTCTGGTACTTTGCTTTTACATTTGAGAAGTGATTCCTAAACAGTGCACCTGTCCACAGGGGAGCTTAGACGGTGGACAGGGGTGCTGGGTTCTGTGATGGGACCAAGTCACCAAGTGGTGATAAATGAGAGCAGGAGAGAGTCTCAGGCAGCCTTTCCGGAGCCTTTTGGAATTAATGTTTTTTAAGAATATTAACAGCTATTACACAGATAATAGCATTACTATTTTTTTAGTTGCAGAATCAGCATATACATACACATGTATATATGTGTGAGTGTGTGTGTATATTTAAACTAGAGAGACAGCTGAGTACAGTGGATAAGAATTTAGATCCTGGAGACAGACTGTGGTCAAATCCTGGCTCTGCAACAACTTTGTGACCTTGGGCAACTGACTGAACTGCTCTGTGCTATAGGCTATAATTCCATCATCTTTTAAAAAGATGCTAATGATAATATCTCACCTTACAGAGCTGTCATGAGAATTAAATGAGTTAACCTTTGTAAAACACAGAGTATGTTACGTAGGTGTTTCTAAGCAAACAATGTGCTCATTTTGTCAAGGGTAATGAAGAAAACAATGGATTCAATGGATTTATTTAAACTGCAGGACTCCTCAGGACCTAAAGTGTTAATATCCTTTATGACAGGAATATGATGGGTAGCAGTTAGAGATCCTTTTTTATGGAGCATCCTGCAGGACAAGTATCCATTAAACAGTTAGGGGGACAAAACCTCGCTTAAGGAGATAGCCCTATCAGGTGAGGAATAAAGAGAGTGAACTAACTTTTATGGAGCACCTGGTACATGACAACGCTGTGCTAGGAGCATGATTTGCCTTATCCTTCTTAACTACAACATTTTGAGGCTATTAAGTCATCTATTTATTTTTTATTTTTTGAGACAGAATCTTGCTCTATTGCCCATGCTGGAATGCAGTGGTGCAATCATAACTCACTGAAGCCTCAAACTCCTGGGCTCAGGTGATCCTTTCACCTCAGCCTCCAATTAGCTAGGACCACAGGGGCATGCTACCAGGCCTGGCTAATTTTTTAAACTATTTTTGTAGAGATAGGGTCTCCCTGTGTTGCCAGGCTGGTCTTGAACTCCTGGGCTCAAGTGTTTCTCCCCGCTTGGCCTCCCACGGTGCTATGATTACAGACATGAGTCAGGGCCCCTATTTTATAGATAAAGAATTGGAGCTTTAGAGAGATGGAGTTGGCCAAGAGTGTCCTATGAAATATTTTAGGGCCAGCAGGGACAATCCTTCTTTGTCCAACTGCCAAGCTTCATCCTGGGAAAATGGAGGTCAGGGAGGACTTCAAGGAGGGGAGGGGTCAACTGGATCCAGAGCAGAGTGGGACTCTGACCAAGGGCTGAGCAGGCATGAATACCACCTGAGACGCAGAACAGGACAGCAAGGCTGCTAGAGACTGTCAAGGCACAGAAAGACTGAGCTGGTGACAAGAACAACGACTGGAGACATTTGACACATCCCAGAATCCTCGCCTTTACTGTATTTGTTACTTCGTTACTATCTGCCTGCTTCCAACAGGGATCCATGGTCATTCCCTCCAGAGCAGGCTTGCGGGCTTGTTTTCAGGGGTAGCAAAAATGGCAATCCTGGAGAATTTGTTTCTCTGGTGCCAGCTGAGACTCCGCCCCGAAAGGAGAACCTCCCAGTAGAGGAGCTCAGTGCGAGAAGGGGTCTGGGCTTTCCACAGGAAAATTTCACACAAGGCCAAGCAGATGATGAGTTTGGATGTCCTAACCTATTCTCTTACATAGGTACATATGGGGTGATGGGGAAGATTCCTTTACTCAACCAATGTTTACAGGGTTAAACGAGAATGATAGGTCCCTCTGGACTTGTTTCCAGGACTCCAGGGAAAATGCTAGTTTTGTATGAGATGAATCTCAAAAAATGCTTATTAAACAGATGACTGACTGGTAATTGAGTGAACTTGACTTTTGAAATATGTACAGAAATAGAGTGTTTCCCATGAGGGGATAAACCCGCAGATACAACTATCAGCAAAACCTGGGGTGAGAGTGAAGGGAAGGGGTTGGATTAAAGAGGGCTTTGAGATAAGAGGTACCCAACATGTGGCACAGTGCCAGGCACCCAGACACCTAAAAGATGTGCTGCCTGTCCTCATGCTTTCCTTCTCAGGCCAGCAGCAGCAGGAGTAGGGGAGAGAACACAGATGCAGAGAGGGAGAGCTAGACAGGAGGAGGTAGGAGGAGGACGTAACAGCTGCAGTGTCACAGGCTCTGGGTCTGGAAGCAGGGGGGCAGCGCGGCAGACACACCTACTGCCCTAAATCATTAGCAGCAACAGCACGCAGAGCTTTGTTTGTGTTGCCTTCTGCTCCAGATTGTTGCTTCCTCACTGACAAGACAATTTGCAGACTGGCCTACTTTCTCATGCCCACCTTCTGCCTTGGGTTCAAAGAGTTGGTCACAAGGGGTGTGTGTGTGTGTTTGTGTCTGGGTGTGTGTGTGTGTGTGAGAGAGAGAGAGACAGAATTCACAAGGTTAAGCTTGTGTGCCTGTTTGTCTGAGAATGTGTTTGTGTGCATAAGACTGAGAGACAGAATTCATGACCTTGAACTTGTGTGTATTGGGGGAGACAACAGAATTCATAAGCTTGAGTGTGTGTGTGTGTATGTGTGTGTGCACATGCACGTGTGTGAGAGAATTCATGAGCTTGAGTTTGCGTTTAAGAGAGGGAGTGAGATTGTTGTGTGTGTGTGTGTGCGTGTGTAGGAGCCCTGAGATGGGGGAGAGTTGGCCTGAAAATGATAAAAGGCCTTCCTTTTACTCAGTAATTTTACTGCTTTTGTGAGGGAATAACAAGCTGGGATAGTGCGTGGGGGTGGGGAAGAGGGCGCAGAACTCATGAACCCTCACTGAAGGGCTCTCCTACCCTCTATCTTTACTTCTGTACTTTTGAACAATGCTGGGGCTTACTCAGGATTTCCAGTTTCTGCAGGGTTTGGGGGAAACTGAGGTTGTCCCTAAGAGGGTTTAGGCTGGGGACTCTGAGGCTAGGCGATTGTAAGTTCCTCCGTGGAAAGGTGCACACATGATCCCTCACACCTGCGCCTCTGGATCTGGCATGTGATCCAGCACTAGCAGGTGCTCAGTAAATGTTGTTGCATCTCTTTGGTATTAAGTGGGATTCTCGCTGCAGAGAGTGACTGACTTGCCTCTGAAGGCAATCAAAACCATATTCCAAAGTACTAATGCTTCCCTCATTTGTATGGTTTCATTGCCAGGTTCCTTGCCTGATACAGATAGGCCCCCAATTACTTCTTGACTGAGATATTTTTTGAACTAACCAGTTGCTTGACCAAACTCAATCTTCTGCATATTGCTCTTGAGCTATTTGTATACAGAGACACAGACATAGAGCAAGGCATCAGTAGGCTTTGGCAGTGGAGTCCAGACTCAAATGCCCTGAGCAGTCCTGCAGTAGCTTAAATGTGTGATGCAATGTGTGATAAGAAACAGGAGAGGTGGGAGGGCAGGTATTTATACTCGACTATTAAAGAAACATACAACAAAAACAAACAAACAGAAAAGGTGAGTATGCATGTTTTCAATCAGTTTCAGAAATAAGAGACCTGTATTTTCAGTTATACCCTTTGGGGGTGTTAACGTTTCTACCCATTAGAAGACAGCTGGCATGGAGGCAGGAGGAGAGACTCTTACTTCGGGTTTGGAATGAGATGAAGGGGACTGTGCAAGGCATCTTTTGCCCAGTAAATCCTGTCACTGCAAACCTTGACATTACCCCACTCACACAGAAAAGTTGTGAGGCTAGACTAGGGTGGCAGAGCTGGACATAGATATGGGTTTGAATCCAGGCTGCACTATTAGCTGTATGTCTGTGGATGAGATATTAAATGTTGATGATAGTCTATCTTCTTATACATAAAGTGCAGAAATAATAACTGACTTAATGATAACATATGGAATGTTTTCTGTGATAAGTATTCACCACATTTTAGTGTGTTTAATCATGACAACAGCAAGTCTGTGTGGTAGCTACTATCATTTTTCCTGTTTTGTGGACTAGGAAACTGAGACAGAGAGGTTAAGTAACTTGACCAAGATCACACAGCTATGGTATGGTAGATTCTAGACTTGAGCTAGGGCTAGCTTAATTCCAAAGCTGATATTCTTAAGCATTTTGCTGCTCCATCGCTGCCTTTGTGCAATTTTGTGAGGACTAGATGGGATTTTCTCTATGAAGTGTATGAGAAAATGCCTACCTAGAATATAGACAGTGTTTGCTCTGTGCACTTCCTAGTCATTTGTCTCCCCTTCCTGGTCTTCTTTGAGTTTTACTCCTTAGTTTAGGCCATGAGGATCCTACAAGGTCCTCCTAAGGCCAGCCAGAAGTTGTGCTTCCATGATTTAAAAATTAAACCCTGTTGTCTCCATGTCTGAATAATTGAGGTTTTTCAATAATAAGGCAGGGTGATTTATAGAAGGGCTATTAGTCTTCATAATAAATTTATTAAATGATCATTGCTGCTTTTTTTCCCTTCGTTATTTGTCATCGGCGGAGTGGTAATTGGTGTTTGAAATCCGTGTTGGCATGCCATCAAACGAGCCTGCTGTTCTGATCAAGCAAAGCCGCCTGGCAGCAGGGGGCCGGCAGAGCTGACAGGAAGCAGGGAAGCATGGGCCACAGGCGGTGAGATCTTCCCACGGAAGGAGTGGCCCAGGGCTTCCGGATCTCCAAATTAACTCATACGCCCCTGTCTCTTCTTCAGCACCGAGGCAGGAAGGTCTCTGTCGAATTTGTTGAACTCCTTAGACAAGCACAGGTTAAATACACATGCCAGGATGGTGGTCTAGCACTTCATTACAGTGCGTTAATTATCATCACCTTCAACGGCAATTAATAACAATTAAGGGTCTTGTAATAACATGAGCACTGTGTGGAGCTACTTTCGAAGCTGCAGGAAAGTGGAATGGATGGTTTTGGAGTACCAGAGTTGGAAGCATCAGCCATACTGTCTTAAAATAAGAGTATGAATGATATTGTTAGGCTCTGTAAACTGAGTGGGACATGCAAGAGGCCACATCCCCCACTAGGCTGGGGTAAGGAACTGACAGAATAAACAAGGCCTGCAGACAGGCTTCTGTGGCCGGTCTGCAAACACAGGCTTCTGTGTTTTGAAATAGTCAGAATTTGAACGTCCCTAGGCTGGACCTGCAAAAAGCCCCCTGCATTCTCCAGTTCCAGCTTGGTCCTGAGATGATTGTCTTCTTACACCTGTCCATGCCCTGAAGTCAAATCCATCTCTGCTCTAAGGTGAAGAAAGAGGTCCAGATAGCATGCTTCCTTCACAGATCTGTTGTGGGGAGTCCATGAGAGAATTCATGCTATGCACTAACAAAACACAGTCTGGCAAAGAATGCTTCTCTCCTCCACTGAAGCAGGCTATGAAGACTTTGGGCTTTCATGCCTTATTGTGGCATCTGAATGACTAGAGAGTCTCTCTGGGGACCCCAGGCAAGCTGTTTCACCTCTCTGGGAGTCAAAGGGGAGAAAGTCCCTAACCCACAGGTTTGTTGTCAGAGTTAAATGGAAGGATACATTGAAATGCTTGATGCATAGTAGGCACTTAATAAATTACAATTCCTTTTTTCCTCCTTTCATCTTTTCAGGCTAGAAGTCAGTGAATCAATCAGTCTTTAACAGGTTGTAAATCCTTATCATATCAGGAAGAACACTTTGGTTTGCAGGCTTTTGGTGTCACATGACACCAGGATGAAATCAGCTCTGCCACTTACCAGCTATATGACCTTTCCCAAGTGACTTAAACTCTCAGAGTTGAGTTTCCATATGGGTGAAATGGAAACGATGAAAGGAACAAAAATGTGGTTGGGCATACTCAATGAGACAAGGAGTGTGTTTAGTGCTTAAGAGCTCCGTGGATCATAGTTGCTAAGACGGTTATACCCAACTTGAAATGAGAACTCACTTTTTCATTCAAAGGCACCCTTAACTGTGTATTTATCATTGCCTCTATTTGGAGAATTAGGTTTGAAATGTTAATTTTCACTTACTTTTAAAGATCCAAACTTAGAAAAGATGACATTATGCACTTACAAACGGTAAGTTGTAATTTTATGAAATTGAGATGCTTTCTAATAAGCCACATTAACAAAGCCATATATACATTTCTAACCAAAAAAACCTTCAAAATTAGAGTTAAGCTAATGAAGATCTGTCATTCTAAGACTTATTTGGGAGTTTTCCTACATATGCTGGCAGACACTATCTTCTCGAACAAAATATTTTTGCTAAAGCAGCAAATGCCTTCTTTCTCTAATGAATTGCCAATTTTGTAAGGTTAAATACATAGTCTATAGCGTTTTCATTTTTTTAAAGATTTTTTTCCATTTATCTTGGGAAATTACAGAGATGATGAAAATCTAAATATAATTTAATGCAAATGTATTCAAATAATTATAGGACGAAAAGTCAACAACAAGTCAAAGCCCCCTGCATGTGTTAAAGACGGATGCTGGGAAGGAAGGCATTTTCACCTTGAGAAGGCGAGTTTAAAATGTTCCACAACAACCTTCTCTCCCATGGTCCTTTTCTCCCTACTTCCCTCCTTTGCTCTTTCCTTTATCCTTCTTTTCACAACAGATTTCTGTTTTTCTTTCCTTCTCTTCTTTCCTCCCTCCTTTTCCCTCCTCCTTCTTCTACTCCTGGCTCTATCTTTTCTCTGTGTGTATCTTTCTGTCTCCGTGCTGTGTCTCTCTGTATTTCCTCTCTCTGTTTGTTTGCCTCATGCCCCATCTCCCCCCTTATCTCACTCACCGCGTCTATAGGGACAGGCCAGCCACTGGGCTAGGCACTAGCAGAGGATAAAAAGAAGGCCATGGCTCCATTTCTGCCCTTGTAGGCCTCAGGGTTTTATGGGGGAGGCAAACAACCCTGCTAAGAAAGTGGAAGTATTACACTGGCAATCAGCACCCACTCTGGCAAAACAGTGTTTAGCACTGTCTTGGAAAGCAGAGGGAAGTTAAATAGAAGATGAAGCTTTAAAGTATGTCTTGAAGGATGAGAAAAAGGTGTCCAGGCAAAGGGATGGGCAGGGATAGACACAAAGACATAGGCAATTATAGAGACTTTAAGGAATGGTAAAAAGATAAAGTCAGGCTGCTAAATTAGAGGAGGGAAAGGGAGGAGGGGAAAAAGGAAGACAGAAGGAGAGAGTGAAGACCGGGAATCAGGGGAGTGGCCAAAAGGAGAAGGCCTTATAGTTCTAACAGTTGTACACCAGTTCTGGCTCAGTACAAAAGCCCTATTTTTGGATTTCATAGGCCAGTTTCAAAAATAAAACAAAAAAGCTGGGTCGAACCTTTATTTTATTAAATAAAGACATTTACCAAAATACTGTCTATTAGCATTGTAATTATATGAAATGGGTGACAGTTAACACCTAAAGTAATAGAAGAAACAATAAGAATAAAATATATTAGTTTGGAATGGATCATTTAGATTTAGGTAAAGCTCATTATGGAATCCCTTTTTTTTTTCTCAAGTTTGTTTCAAAGCAGTGACAACTTGATTATTCATCATGATTACTGTGCTTGCTTCCACAAATCTGCATTTGAGAAGCACTTCTGTATGCAGTGTCAAGGAGGCTGTATTCCTATTTGGGTAGCAGTGAGGAGCTGGTGAAGGTTTCTAAGGAGATGATGGTCAGTGCTCTCTGGGCTGCAGGAACACCAGGGCAGTGCAGAAGCTCACCTCTAGCCTGCTGTGTTCTGTGGGTCACAAGCTATGGTGGCCTAAATCTATTACTAGAAGATGACCATACTCACACCACAGAGGATGGTTGTGGTAATTAAAATGTCTAATAGATGTGAAGGCACTGAGATGTCTAGAGATCTAACTGCAGAGATCATTAGCGTCAGAGGACGATCTCATCTTGAATGCTGGCAGCTAGCGAAACTGGACCACACAGAGCCATGGAGGGGGTGAGTGGTCAGGTACAACCTTCCCCTGTGTCTTAGTGTATTTGGGCTGCTTTAACAAGACACCATAAATTGGGTGGTTTATAAATAATATAAATTTATTTTTCATAGTTCTGGAGGCTGGGAAGTCCAAGATTGAGGCTCCAGCAGATTGGGTGTCTGGTGAGGGCCTGCTTCCTGCTTCACAGATAGCCATCTTTTCACTGTGCCCCCACATGGCAGAAGAGGTGAGGGATCTCACTGGGATTTCTTTCATAAAGGCACTAGTCTTACTTATGAGGACTCTGTCCTCATGACCTAATCACCCCACAAAGGCCCTGCCTCCTAATACTATCACCTTGGGGGTTAGAATTCCAATGTATAAATCGTGGGGGAAACATCAACTTTCAGTCCTTTGTGCCATGTGTGATGGTTAATTTCATGAGTCAACTTGACTGGCCACAGGGAGCACAGACTACTACTTCTGGGGGTTTCTGGATGAGATTAGAGTTTAAATCAGTGAATTTAATAAAGTAGAAATTGTCCTCCCCAGTGTGAGGGAGAGTCATCCGATCTGTTGAGGGCCTGAATAGAACAAAAGGCAGAAGGAGAAATTCACCCCTTTCTGCCCGACTGCTTGAGCCGGGACAGCCATCTTCTCCTGCCCTTGGTGTTCCTGGTTCTCACACCTTTGGACCCAGACTGGGAATCTACATTATTGGCTCCCCTGGTTCTCAGGCCTTCAGACTGAAGCTGACTTATACTCACTGGCTTTTCTTTGCAGGTGGCAGATCGTGGGACTTCTCAGCCTCTATAATGGTGTGACCCAATTCTGTATAATAAATCTCTTCCTATATATCCTGTTGATTCTGTTTCTCTAGTGAACCCTCACTAATACACCATGTCTCTCAAGCCGTTGTAGATAGCTACCATTGCTGGAACTATTACTTTGTACTAGACATGTGCTAAGGTCTTTGCTTATTATCCATTACAACTTTTGTGTACTCATGACATATGAAATGGTACACTTGTTTAGTACTAGACAACTTGTAATGGAAGAAGCAATTTTGTTTTAAACCACTATGTCATCAGAATCTAGCTAATCACTGAATGGCATATAATAAATGTTGAATGAATATTTTTAATTGAAAATTGAAAAGGAGATCTCTCCCAGGTCTTATAATGACTAAGGGGCCTAAGTAGGATTTGAACCAAAACCTGACTCCATAGCCCATGCTGTTTGCATTTACTGAGTAAATGCATTGCACTGGCCCTAAGCCCAGCAGAATATGCTGCATCATGTCAATTACTGAGGGTGGGGTGGGCAACAGGCCCTTTAGTTCCACTCTCTGTTCAAGTCTCAGTGCCTAGTCCTTCCAAGATCCTTGGAGTTAACTCTCCTTGCACTACTTCCTGGCTACTTTGGCAGAAGATGCCAAGTGCTTATGGTTTCAGGCCCAGTTCAATTATTACCTCCCTGGGAAGGCTGTTATAACTCCCCTAAGAGTGGAGATATTCATGGCATTCTTTGTCTGCCACAGGCGATGGTGAAGTGAAAAGAACACCCAATTTGGGTTGAGATAATTTGGAACTGAGTCCTGACTCTGCCTCGTGGGTGTGACCTTGAGCAAGTCACAGTCTCTCTGAGCTTCAGACTCCTCATTTGTAAAACAGATAGCAGCTATTGCTTTGTCTGGCACTCCAGGGATGTTTTAAGATCAAAGTCAATGCACTGACATGTAAAAAAGCATTTATAAAGTGTAATATGCTGCACAAGTGTTAGCAATTAATTTTAGAGGTCGGGCTGAAGTCACAGTTTGAAGACACAAAGGAATCGGCAGTTCAAATATGAAGAGAGATGTGGCAGATATTGTGGCTATCTTAGTAAATTCCTTCCACCTTTTCCTGTCCAACTCATGAACCTTAAGTCAGCCATTCACCCATTCATTCATTCATTACTTCACTCATCACACATTCGCTGAGTGGCCACTTGGTATCAGGTACTAGACCCTGAAAATACTTAAATAAGTCCCATAAAATCCCATCCAAAACAGCTCATTGTCTGTTTTGAAGGCAGACAATTAAAAACTTATAAAATATCTAACCTCTTTGGTCATATACGACCCTATTTGGTCATATATGACCTTTGTACCAGTCATTCAAAAAATCTTTCACTGATTACCAAATGTCTTTGTTTGCAGTGCTCACATTTGCAACCCACATTTCCTATTTTGTTTCCAGGTGTTACAGCTTATTGGTTATTTCATCTGGCACTTTCATCAAATTAGTTTGATAAAGTTTTACTCTTCTCATTTCCAGTTTTTACTCTTTCTTCAATATTTCCCAAGATGCTTTGTATTTGGAGATTTTCAGTTTTGTCTCAAAGCAATAATTACATCTAACACTTATATTGAGCTTACTATGTGCCCAGTGCTATTCCAAGCATTGAATGCACATTAACTTAATTAGCCGCCTATTTGATCTCTCTTCATTAGTCTCCTTAGCATTTTTCTAGTTTAAAAGAGTTCTTACAGTTCTTACAAATTTTAAACCTGTGATTAAAAACATAAATATGTAACAATGCATACAATTATATAAGTAATTAAATCTTCAGAAACTCATACAATTCTTATGAGTAGTTCTCTGCTCTGTATTGCACTACAGGAAAGGGACACATTTACTGTTACATGTTGCAGAAATTCTGAGCTTACTTTAGAAAAGATTACTAAACATATGTCAGAAACACATGCATTTCTTATAAATGGCCAGCAGCTATTTGCGCCTTGACAGTATCAATATTTATAGACTGATGTAGATTTCATGTGACCACTGGCTGCAGTGTTTGTGTGAAAAACCCACCCACCTACCATTAATTAGGGGAACACACCTGAGTGCTCTAGGGCCCTATAGAGGTAAGGAGGGGAAAGAGAGATCTGACAGGTGGGACTGGAGGACTGTCCAGGAGCTAACACGACCTAAATATGAAGGAGAAGGAGGAAGAGTTTTGAAACATGTTAGTTTTCTAGGGCTACCATAACACATCATTCAACCACTTTGAATTGTAATTGGCTTATTACTAAAATGGGATAATGTGAACTAATTGGTAGGAGTGTGTCTGAGTTAAATGGAGAAACTCATGTCAAGAGCCTACTAGAGGCTCAAATCTTTCACAATGCTGCCTAGGTAGTTAGAACTTAGATCTCCAGGTAGCTCAAGAACTTGAAAAAAAAAAAAAACTGAACTGATTTGGAAACACTTGACCTGCCAGAAGGAGGCCTTCTAGACCCACGGAGCAAAGAGATATTGTCATAGCATTACAAAGGTTGAGGGTTTTTTTTTTCCCCCTTAAAAAATTACATTAAGGCTCCTCTCAGTTCAAATGAAATGCATTCCCATGATAATACTCAGAGCTTAATGTTCATAACATTTCAGAATAAAAAAATCAGTTCTGTGTTTACTTTGTGCTTATTAAACAGGAAAAAGATGAAAGGAGCAAATAGAGGAAAGACAACCAAGATTATTTCCAATTTCTTGAGATATCCCTTCCACCTGGATGCTTTGATAATGGCATAGCAGCAAACAAAGTCTGAGGCTACATGAGACTCAAAAATAAGAGGGAGAAATCACTCAGTTCTGTCATCCAGATATTTCATTTGCAGGGCAACAAACAGCCAAAGGACCAAATATCAGGGGAAGTGACTTCGGATTTCAATTGTCTTAAGTTTTCACAGACCTAAAGAATCACAGCTGGAAGGAGATCTTGAGAGGTCATCTGGAACCTGTGCAAATTTTAAAACTCCTCATGTCGATTATTTTTAAGAATGATGAAAAAAGAAATGTTATAACTTGCTGCAAGAGTCCACTCTAGTGTTCGATAACCCTCACCTCGGGAAAATTGTCTCTTAAAGCTACACTAAGTGATTATTTCTGCGAGAAAAAAATGTTAGTTATTTGTTTCACCCTAAGGGTAGACAACATGGGGTCTATTTATATAAAAGGGTAGGGTTATCTACTAAGAGATAGCAAAAGTTACTCTGTTTTTAGAATCCAAAGAACTGAGTTCAAATCTTAATGCTGACACTTGCTAGCCACATGACCCCAAGCTAATTACTTCACTTAACTGAGCACCATTTAATAAAAGGAAGTCCTGGCCTCAAAGCATCCTGGGCACCCCACGTGATGAGGAAGGAGGGGTGATGACCAAATTGTGGAATTAAAATATACTCTGCTATTTTACCACTGAAATATCCACGGATTTGTTGGTATGCTATTTTCATTATTTTTAAGTCCAAAATTGTAGGTATTAATATCTGTAGAGAAAGATCAACAATTTAATTATTCAAATTATGTGAAAAGACAAACTGATACAAAGTCTACAAGTCTAAACATGTCCAGACCTTCATGAATTGTAATAAGCAACCATATTATGGTCCTGCAAAGCTCCTGTTGAAAGAATAATTATTACTGCAGTTCAAAAAATTTCTGAGAAAACAGAATATGAATGTGACAATATGGAAATGGATACAGGGACTTGTGCATCAGAGCCACCAACTACACATGATAAAAATACAGAAGATGTAGACTTATCAAATATATTTTCTTTGGTGGGGGTGGGCAGGAAACATAGCTCCTTCTCAATACAAAACCTGTGTATAGTCTTTATTGGGATGGTCATGGAAGGAAGGGTTGTTCAAACAAAAACTCAAAATTATCAAATAAGAAATAAAGTTATTTAAAGATGAAATTCAGAGGAAAATATTTAGGGTTAGCTCTTAAGTGTCTCTTCACCATTCTTCTGACTATTCACAAAATCACCAGAAAAGCTTTTTCAGCAGCAAGTAAAGCTTGCATAAAAATATATTTGCAAATCATTGATGTCACTTGACTCATTTCATTTTTTAATTAGCACATTTTAAAAAGAGCAAGTAACATTTTCATTTTCAATTTCCATAATTAAGTGCATTTTTCTAGTTTATATGCTATTTAGTTTATGGTTTGAATATTTAACTTAGTGATTTACATCTACAAATAATTTATATGACAGTTATGTTTACATTTTGTAAAATGTCCCTGATGTTTATAGTATCTATATGTTTTTGTATTTGAAGTACATTAAATAGCTTTGTTTCTTTGAGCCTTTTACTTCATAAATTTTGTGTACTTTCAAAATAAAATACTGATAGTATGTAAAATAAAAATTGAAATAACAGAATTGTTACCTTGCCGCAGCACTGCAATCACTAAAATGGAGTTAGCAAACTGAGAGTAACCTGACATTCAGCAGGGAAATGTACCAGGACCCAAAGGAGGGGTCAGTAGCCCAAATCAGCAGAGGCAAAGAAGACTGGCTTTTTTCTCACTTAAGGCTGGTACCTTCCCTGCTCCATGTTACCAGGACACAGGACCCTCTGATAGATGGTAATTGGGTATTAGCATCAGGAGACATATCAGAGTTATTGATCAGGGAAGTGGGAAAGGGTTATATCAGGCACAACAAATATTCCATTGTAGGCTTCTGAGGGAACAGTCTACAGGGAGTAGAAGATATTGTCTGAGGTATATGGGATTTAGGGAGGCCAGGGACCTGGTATACCTAAATTGCAGAACTACTTTAAGAATTAAATATTAGAGAGTCTCCAAAGGACTCTTATAATAATTCCACATGTGTAAGAGGATTACTACAACGTAGTGCTGCATAGGCGTGGAACTTGGTGCAAATTCTACTCTAGTATAAATTATTAGTGGAGTACTACTCTAGTATACATTATTACCAGATGTTTCTAAATTAAAGTGTTATTAGAAAAATAAATCTTTTCTTTAATAGCGTTTGTGTGAAATTTGGTGTGTGTTTATCATGAGTGGACTTCCAGTTTAACATGAAATTGGGATCAGCCACAGCGGATGAAAGGTGTCAGTATCAGTACTCTATGAGACTAGAAGCAGAGAGGAAAGTGGTAGGTGACTAGCGTGGTAGAGGAAGCTAAAACGCTAAGACAGGATGCAGATGGGGTTGGATGCCATCAATAAATTCACAATTTCACTGAAGAAATTCAGCACCAGGCAGACACAGACAGAGGAAGGTTGGGGTGGAGTTGAAACAGTGGGGAGGAGTATTGTGTGAGAGTTGTGAGGAGAAGGGAAACTCAGGAGAATGGAATTCTCACTCATGGTAAGAGGAAGTCAAGAGATAACACCTGAAACTGACAAATCAAAAAATAGCAATGTAAGTGTGTTATTTAGAATGGAGTAAAATAACAGAAGAAAATGTTAAAATAATAAAAGTTTCAGAGTGGTGGGTATATAGGAAGTAAGGAATTGTTATTCTCTGACAGGAGTTGTAGTACTATGTGTTTTAAATGGATCATAAGGATACTTTTCTTTTAAATTTAAAGCAAATAGAATGTACTAGATTAAACAGTAGTTCTTATTATGCTGTATTAGATAAGACCAAAGATATGATCAAAATGGGAAAGGTTAGTAATATGATTTTTCTAAAGCAGACAGTAAGTATTCAGTAAACATGGCTTTTCCATATGTTTTACAGTTAAGAATATTGTTCTCTAAATCAGGCTCAAAGCTATGTACCAAATATGTCAGGATCTGAGCCCCTGAGTAGAGCTCTCTGTCACTTTAGTTGTGGCTTGATGGAAGAGCAAGATCGGGAGAAGCTGTGTCCTGTTGTCTAACACTACAGGGCCAAGGCTGTGAGGAGAGGAGGGGGCCGAGATGACACTTCTCATTCAGGAATTCTCAAACTTGAGCACGCATCTGAATAACCAGAAGGGCTTGTGAAAACAGAGGGCTGGCCTCACTCCCAGGGTTTCTGATTAAGTGGCTTCGGGATGAAGCCTGAGTTTCTTTATTTCTAGTAAGTTCCCTGGTGATGCTGATGCTGCTGAACCTGGGACCACACTGAGAATCATTGGCCCAATGTGTGGTGGGCAAGTGGATTGCAAGGGCAGGCTGCTGAGGACCGGCTGAAGGAAGAATGCTGTTCCTGGAAAGGTGTTTGAATAAGCTTTGTGCTGGGAAGGGAGGGACAGAGTGGGGAATCTAGGTGTCCCATATATTTTCTAAGGCTGGCATTGTAATGTCTTTTAATAATCTCCTTGGCTCAGCCCAACAATCTCTACTTTAAAGAAATGTCTGATTCCCACAATTCTAATAATATGTGCCCAGAAGAGAGCCCACCAATGAAAGTCTGAAAAATAGATTCAATTACCCTTCTCCACTATTGAACCTAAGTGATGCCATTAGAGGAAGGGAGAGAGCCGGAGTGAAACACACGTACATTTTGCCAGGTATCTAAGAAGAAAGAGAATAGGTACAAAGAAGCAGACCTAACCTGGGAGTGACTGAACAATCTTTTAAAAATGATTAGGTCATATAACGTTTGTCAATATTTTTAATGGTCATACTAAGTTGCTTTATCAGTCAAAATTTTCTGTCTCACAAGAGTCAATTGAGACCAGAATTGCAAATATAAACTTACAGTGTGCCATGGCTGGCGCATCCTGGACCATGGGGTTAATCTAGGCAGTTAGTGCAGAAAGGCAGGGAAACTGAAAGTAAGAAATCCTAGGTTCAAGACCTGCCTCTTTAAAGAAGACAGCTAGCATTTGACACACTTTAAGGTCAGCTTGGTGTGACCTTGAAGAGTTAACATCTCATAGCCTCAGTGATCTCATCTTCAAAATGAAGACAATAATGTAAGATTTAGCATAGTACCTGGCACACAGCATTGTGCTGAAAGAACGTGAGCTATAATAGCAGATAAAAACAAGCTCTTTAAAGTCAGATGAGGGTTCTGATCTGGGCTGTCACTTAATAGTGGCTCCCTTGGGCAAGTTATTGAACCTTTCTAAGGTGTAAGTAATTGTGTTAAAATAGAGATAATAATATATAATCTTTTAGGATTACTCTAAGGATTAAATGAAAGCAAATATAATAGTATGCATATCCCTTGGCAATAGTAAGCACCAAACAAATGAAATGATCACTGCAGATATGAAACCTAACCTTTATAAGTACTAGTTTTCCTAACGTGTAAAAATAGAACAAATATCTACCTTACCCTCTTCCAGATTTGGTTCGAAGCTGAAATAAGATAATAAAAAGAAAGAAACTTCATTCATTCAACAAATGTTTATTGTGCATCTTTTGTGTGCCAGGACTGTTTTAGGTGCCAGCAATATCCTTGTAAACAAAAAGGTATAATGAAAATCTTGTATTCAGGAGATTATACTTCTCCCACTGGAATGGAGGAGGAAAAGAGGAATAAACAAATAAATATATAATGGTGGTGAAAATGTTTTAGAGAAAAGTTAAACAAGGTACAGATTATAGAGGTATGGCAATGGGGTGGGGAGGGTATACTATTTTATATAAGGTGGTCAAAGAAGAAATAGCCAATAAATGGCATTTGAGCAGAGATCTGAAGGTTATAAGGGGTAAGCCATGCAGATGTCTGGAGGACAGTCTAGGCAGAGGGACGGCCAGTTCAGCATCTCTGAGATGGGAGCATGTTAGGAGTATTCATGGAGGTACAGGGGACCCAGGCTGGCTATAGCAGCTAACGGAGGTGAGGACAGTGTGCCATGAATCACATGGGAATTTGCAGTTATGAACTGAAATGTGTCTCCCCAAATTCACAAGTTTAAGCCCCAATGCAAACATGATGTTACTTGGAGATAGAGTCATTAGGGAGATAATTAAGGTTAAATGAGGTAATAAGGGCAGTACTCTAATCCAGGGGTCCCCAAACCCCGGGCCATGGACTGGTACCAGTTCATGGTGTGTTAGGCACTGAGCCGCATAGTAGGAGGTGAGCGGCAGGCAAGCAAGCGAAGCTTCATCTGTATTTACAGCCACTCCCCATCGCTTGCGTTACTGCCTGAGCTCCGCCTCCTATCAGATCAGCTATGGCCTTAGGTTCTCATGGGAGTGTGAACCCTCTCATGGGAATGTGAATTGAGCATGCCAGGGATCTAGGTTGCGTGCTCCTTATGAGACTCTACTGCCTAATGATCTGTCACTGTCTCCCATCACACCCTCAGTTGCAGGAAAACAAGCTCAGGGCTCCCACTGATTCTACATTATGGTGAGTTGTATAATTATTTCATTATATATTACAATGTAATAATAATATAAATAAATTACACAATAATTGTAATGCACTTGAATCATCCTGAGACCATCCCCCTGACCCTGGTCCATGGAAAATTTGTCTTCCACAAAACCAGTCCCTGGTGCCAAAATGGTTGGGGACCGCTGCTCTAATCTAATAAAACTGGTGTCCTTGGCCAGGTGCGGTGGCTCACGCCTGTAATCCCAGCACCTTGGGAGGCCAAGGCGGGCAGATCACGAGGTCAGGAGATCGAGACCATCCTGGCTAATACGGTGAAACCCCGTCACTACTAAAAATACAACAAAAATTAGCCAGGCGCGGTGGCGGGCGCCTGTAGTCCCAACTACTCAGGAGGCTGAGGCAGGAGAATGGCGTGAACCTGGGAGGTGGAGATTGCAGTGAGCCAAGATAGCGCCACAGCAGTCCGGCCTGGGCAAAAGAGCGAGACACGGTCTCAAAAAAAAAAAAAAAAACAAAAACAAAAAACTGGTGCCCTTATAAGAAAATGAAAACACTGGAGCACTCTCTCCCATTCTCTACCCGAGTGTGCACAGAGGAAAGGCCACGTGAAGCTACAGTGAGAAGGCGGCTCCCTACAATTCAGGAAGAGAGGTCTCACCAGAAACCAAATTTGCTGACACTTTGATCTTGAACCTCTTGCTTCCAGAATTGTGAGAAAATAAATGTCTGTTGTTTAAGCCTCCCAGTCTGTGGTATTTTGTTATGGCAGCCCAAGCAGACTGGTACACCATGCTAGGACTTCAAGATGGGTTGTCATTAGAGGGCTTTAAACAAGGACAGGAGGACATTTGAAAGGATACTCTTGTGTGTAAAATATGGGCACAAAGTTGAAAGCTAAACAATCAGTCAGGAGGTGCTTGCAATAATCCAGATGAACAGCGATAGTGGCTTTGACCAGGGTACTAGCAGTAGAGAAGGTGGTAAAGACTGGCTGAATCCTGAATGCAGTTTGCAGGTAGAGCCAACAAAATGTGCTCGTGGGTGAGATATGGGGTGTACAAAAGAGCAGGGTGGGTCAAAGGTGGCTCCAAGGTTCTGACTGAGCACCTGGAATACCAGAGTTGCCATTCACTAAGATGGAAAAGGTTATGGAAGGAATAGCTGGGGCAGATAATCGAGAGTTTAGTTCTGAATTTTCTTGAAGTTTGAGTTGCCAGCAGACATCCAATAGAGATGTTTGAGGATACAGATGGAGTTCTAAGTTCAGGGAAGTGATAGGATTGGAGAGAAATATGGATGGATAATATAAATATGGATAAATATGGATATCATTAACATATGGATGGTAGTTAATGAGACAGGGTCATAAAAATTAAAAAAGTTACATATTTGTAAAGCTGTACATAAATTAATTGGGGTCTTTGCGTATTCTTCAGTATGCAGGGGCTTTTTTTATAGCAATCTCACAATATTTTTCTTCTTTGTGCTTTACTAATATTTCATACCATTTAAAAATGGGATAAGATGAGATACTTACTATCTACTAATACTTTACATATTTTGCTCTTCCCATAACATATTACAGGAATATCTCAGTTGCCAAATCTATTGATAGGTTTATCACCTATGTCATACTTAACTATGTGTTGGGAATTGTGCAAGCAACTGGAGAAATAATGAAAAAAATGCATTCCCAGCTTCAGTGAGTCATATATTTTCAATGGAGTGTTGTCAGCGTAATGATAAAGATATGCACAGGGAATCGTGGAATCCCAGGGGAAAGATGCCTAATCCATCCTGTAGGAGCCAGCAAAGAATTCCCAGAGGAGGCACCAGCTGATCTGGGTTTGAGCAGAGTGGTGGGTATATGCAGGTGTGTGTAGGGGTAGCTGAGGTCATCATGCAGTCTGAGCACCAACACAGGGCTGAAAGCACAGCTTGGTATGTGTATCAAAACCAAGGCAGGTCGGCAGGTGAGGGTAACATGGGAGGCAGGGTTGATAAAGACAGGATGCTGAGACTTAGACAAGGGCCAGGGTATGAAGATCTTCAGATTCTGTATTAGGGAGCATGAATCAACTTCAATCTTGGACAGGAGGTAGAATGTAAGAGGGCATTAAATGTTTTTAGTAAGGGGAGTGCTTACAAATTAGTAATAGGCATCAGAGACATCTTAAGGCAATAACAACAAAGGGTAGAATATCTCTGTGTTATGAAGGTGTCCTCATATATAACTGATAAAGATAAAAACTTGCAAGGAAACTAGTCTTCAACAATAGGGAAATGACTAAATGAATTATAGTGGATCGACTTAATAATGGAGCATTTACTCAATGGAATATTATTCAGTTGTTTACAATGATTGTTACTGAGAGTATTTGGCAGCATAGAGAAACACTTTTGGCATGGGTAAAACCAACTAAGCTTTATATTTGTATTTATAATCTGATACTAGTCATATAAAATGAAATATAAAAATGCATAATGTAAAGACTAGAAAAAATAAATATACCCAAATGAGGGATGATGGTTATTTTTTGTTTTTTGTTTTTTTGCTAATTTCTAAACTCCACAGAATATGTTTAGATTAGTTTTAACATTAAAATTCATGAATACATAAATAATCAAAAAGGGGCTTACAAAAACATGGCATATTGTTACTTTTCATTAATAAAAACAATAAATCATGTGTGATAACTTTATTAGAGTTAAATGAGGAGATAAAAATCAGTGTTTATATATTTTTTCATTTTATGAAGTACATGTTTTCAGCAGTTCTGGGCGAGGAGTGTCAGATGATAAGGCTGAGATCTGCTGAGAATGATGTCATCTGCAATGGTGTGCAAGTCCCTGCTCTTCCCCAGATCCTACCATGCAAACCATCCTTCTCCTAGTGCTTAGATCTAGCACAAATGCTGTCATCATCATAACTCAGCTTAGTTTTAACCTCATCTCAATAATCTGTATTGCTGAAGAGAAAGGTCTAATGCTCAGGATTATCACCTATTTCCTAATCCATGGAGATCAAAGACACAGTTCATGTTCCTGAGGAGTCCCCCTAATGAGCTGGACTTCAGAAGACACCAAAGCAGTGAGGGAAGGGGCTTGAAGAATACGTAGTTCACCAAATGGCAAAGGCAGGAAAGGGCATTCCAGGTAGAAGAAATGGTATGGAAAGAGTTGGATCTTTTCTTGTAACAGTCATAGGTAATCCAGTGTGGCTGGAAACAAATACAAGGGTGTGAGTGTTGGGGGTGTGTATGTGTGTGTGTGTTGAAAGGTGGGGATGGAAAGAGAGGGTTCTACAGATAAGGCCAGGAACTTTATAAAGTTCTTCATAAAGAACTTTAGTAAATAACTTTATAAAGTTCTTCATAAAGAACTTTAGTAAATAACTTTATAAAGTTCTTCATAAAGAACTTTAGTAAATAACTTTATAAAGTTCTTCATAAAGAACTTTAGTAAATAACTTTATAAAGTTCTTCATAAAGAACTTTAGTAAATAACTTTATAAAGTTCTTCATAAAGAACTTTAGTAAATAACTTTATAAAGTTCTTCATAAAGAACTTTAGTAAATAACTTTATAAAGTTCTTCATAAAGAACTTTAGTAAATAACTTTATAAAGTTCTTCATAAAGAACTTTAGTAAAGAACTTTAGTAAGTAACTTTATAAAGTTCTTTATAAAGAACTTTAGTAAATAACTTTATAAAGTTCTTTATAAAAAGAACTTTAGTAAATAACTTTATAAAGTTCTTTATAAAGAACTTTAGTAAATAACTTTATAAAGTTCTTTATAAATAACTTTAGTAAATAACTTTAAAGTCTCCAATAAGGAACTTTTCCAGTTCCAGTAGGCAAAGGGGAGCCACTGAAAAGTTTTAAGCAGAGGAGTCGCCTTTTCATATTTGTAATTGAGCAGGATACTCAGAGGGCAGTGTGAAGGAGGGTTTGGAAGGAGTGAGACTAGAGTTGGAGCACTTTAAGAAGCTCTTGAGAAAATAATGTGTCCATGAACTAAGGCAAAGGCAGCAGGTATGCCCTCTTTCATTCAACAAATACTGAGCATGCACTGTGCATCATGCTCAGCACTGGGGGTGTCTTCTTGTGAAAGAGATTACAGACAAGGTCGCTGCCCTCAGGGTGCTTACAGTCTAATGTACTGGAGAGGGAAGAAAATGTTTGAGTCTGTTTCAGAGACAGAATCAACAAGTGCTCTAGATACTCCCTTCAGTGCTGAAAACACAAACCATACAGAGTCCCACGGAAATCACAT
This sequence comes from Homo sapiens, assembly GCF_000001405.40. Lineage (NCBI taxonomy): Eukaryota > Metazoa > Chordata > Mammalia > Primates > Hominidae > Homo > Homo sapiens. Next base: position 57,639,878 of record NC_000001.11, read on the forward strand.
TAGATAGGCCATCTTTCTAAAATTGTAATATTCATCCTTCTAATTGCAGATAAAAGAAAGGTCCCCAAAATACTTGGAATAGTCAGGCTTTAGAGGCATGGGCTTTCTCTCTGGCATGTGAAGTTGGAAGCTCTTGGTTTCAGCGGTTCCATCAAAGGCCACAGTCTGCAGAAGCATGGCACGAGAGGAAGTAGAGGCTGTGGGCAGAAGATGATGAGTGCAGATGCAGGTCTCGTGTATTACAGGTTTGCTCTCTGTGTCATTTGCTATGTGACTTAATGTGAGTTCCTCATCACTTGGGGCCTCAAATTCCTCATCTGCCAAAAAGGAAGTTGAAATAGATCATCTCTGAGGTTCCTTAGATTTCTAAAATTTCCTGCTTCCTTTTTTTGTTAAAATTTCTAGTTGAGGGGTATGTTTCCAGTGAGGTGGTGCACTCCTATTAATGTTTTATGTCTAAATGTATTGTATTAACTTATGTTTCTATAACCATTTATACTTTACCAAGTATTTTCACATATATATCACCCTTACTCTTCACAACCACTTCTAATTTCCTTTTTTTACAGGTAAGGGAATTGAGGCTAAATGAATGAGGAGGGTGACACAAGAAACCAAGCCCACACAGCTAACAAGTGGCAAAGGGAGCCTTAAGTTGGATTTTCAGCTTCAAAGCAGGGCCTCTATCCACTTCAAAAAGCTTATTGCACTCCCCTGAGAGCCTATTCCCTTGTTCTAATCAATCCATGTTTAGGATATAACAACTCAAATAGGGTATTAGGTAAGTTAAATGGGTTCAGCACTAAGGACTCACTAAAAGAGAAGAATGGCTACATTTTATTGAACCTAATTTGTGAGCCATCTGGGAACATTACCTTCAATGGGACACCCAGAGCTAGTGTCCCCAGCTGAGACACTGATAAATAAAGACATCAGCATTAGAGTAACATTAGAGCTGCAGAGAAGTAAAGAATCTAGGGGCATGCAAGCTCAGGAAAGTCTTTTTATTTTTCCTGAATGCACTTATAGAAGGAGACATGCTTGGCTTAAATGAAGGCTGCTGTTAGATGAAATTCCTATAGAAATGTCCTTTGGAAGAATCATCTTGCAGCAAATTGGACACTCCCACAATGTTTGGTGTCTGAGTAACTTAGTCCTAGTGACTGCATTCAAACTCACTCCTGGCATTAGTGAGTTAATTAGTGTCTTAATTTCCTCATCCTTAAAACATAATAATTATTTCCTCTAAGGTTGCTATAAGGACAAAATGAGCAAATTGAGGCCTGGGAGTGGAGGTGGGATGGGTGAGTTGGGGTTAGCTCATTGCAGGGAAGCCAACCAGCAGAGCTTTCTTCTTCATACAAATCTCCACCTCACTCCCTTTCCAACTTTGATCTTATATTCTTATATACCTGACTTAGTCTAAATTCCTGGTTTCTTCATGGATAAAACCCAATGTTCCCTGGTGAAACTCTTGCCCAGTTCCCTCTTTTTTTTGTTGGTTTTTTTTTTTTTTTTTTTTTTGAGACGGAGTCTCGCTCTGTCGCCCAGGCTAGAGTGCAGTGGTATAATCTCCGCTCACTGCAAGCTCCGCTGCTGGGGTTTACGCCATTCTCCTGCCTCAGCCTCCCGAGTAGCTGGGACTACAGACGCCCGCCACTACGCCTGGCTAATTTTTTTGTACTTTTAGTAGAGACAGGGTTTCATCGTGTTGGCCAGGATGGTCTCGATCTTCTGATCATGTGATCTGCCCACCTCAGTCTCCCAAAGTGCTGGTTCCTTTTTTTTTTATAATTCAGTAACCCCAGCGTAATCTCTGAATAATATTTGTGTCAGGCTTATTTGTCTATGATCTGTCCAGAACAGATACTCTCCAAGTCTGGTTATTGCTATTCAAATCTTTTCCTTTGCAGTCTCATTATCTATCCTCTCATCCTGTATCCTTCTCTTCCTCCTTCCTTCCAAGAAGTGCTCAAGAACTTAGAGATCACCTCCTCAATTACAGGCTCCGAGATTTAGGGAAGTTGTGAGCAGTTCACAAATTTCATCCACATAGGTCTGGGTTAGAGTCCTAGTTCAGCAATTCACCAGTTGTGTGACTATAAGCAAACTGCTTCACGTCTCTGATCTTCTGCCTCTTTACTTACAAACGCAGATAACAATAGCTTTCTCACATGTCCAGGGTCTGATTTATTATCATTAGCATATGGAAGTGCTCAGTGATTTTTTTTTTAAGTTCTCAGAGCTAGGTGCTAGAAATAAAGATGCAAAACAAACAAGAAACAATGAAAAAACATGTCTCAGTACCATAGGAAAATGTAAAGAGTGAGAGAAAAATGCAAACAGAAAAATATAATATACCATGTTAAGTGATTTAATAAAGAATCTCCTGTTCCCCAAAGGACACAGACATTCCATACAGGAGGATTGCTGCTATTCTTTATCCATTGGAAGCTGATTCCCTAGCCCTTAGGTGCCTACTCTGATGTTGCTTGTCCCAAGCAGTAGGGAGCCTGTGTTGACCAGGTGCCCTGGAGCACCTCATTACACATTCTGGCACCACTCTGTAATAACAAGATCCACTTCCATATGTCTCCCCTCTACTCTACCTCTTTGCTCAGCCTTCTTGATCTGAGCTTATTATATATCCCCTCCCTCCCTCAAGCCCCAATCTTCTCTTATCAACTCTAGGTGTCTCTTGGATCAAATTCATTTTCTCCCCAACGCTAAAAATAAAAATATTCACGTTACAACTCCATCCGTTGCCTGGAGATAACATTCAGCTCTTCACACAGGCAGACCTTCTCCAGCTGTGCCAATTTAATCCTGTTCTGTTGCTTCCTTCATTTTGAATAGGATACCTTTGGCAGGTGAGGTGTTATGAACATCAGCGTGTTAAATCTTTAGCAGAGAATAACTCTCCGGGGCATTTTTTGTTCCATTTCATTTTGTCCCAGATGCTGTCATAATGTCTGCTAATATCTCTAGACTTTCTCCATGAGTTCTTTGGCAATTCATTAATACCTGTGCACCTCACACAAATATTACTTGAGCACCTACCATGTGCCAGATGCTGGACTACGGCACTTGTTTGATGCTTGTAAGATAGGCAGGATGTGTGTTGAGGGAGGACAATGGGGGAACAGCCAGCTATTTCTTCAACTTTGGCTATTGTTCACATATAAATGTGTGCAGGGGAGCAGAGTGAGGCTTGGTCATCAATGCGGATTTCAGCTGTCACCTTTTATCCTCCACATCTCTGTCTGGGGGCAATATACCTGCCAATTACGGAGATTTTTCTAGCCAGGTTTGTGCACTCACAATTGGCTGCCTATGTTGCACTTTAAGAATAAGATGTTCCTACAGTTACCTCTTCTCTTTGCATGGATACCCTCTGCTTGAGAGGTCAGGGGCTCTTGTCTTTGAATGGATAGTTATATGATTCATTCACACAGTTTCATTTGTATATACTTGATTTCATCACTTGGCTGTGTTCTTTTTTAAAAGTCTCTTACTTATAGCTTTTAGTTCCTTATTTGTAGTCAGATTTATAATAGATTGTTCTATCATGTCTATTTTTGCATTTGCTTTTATGTTAGTTATTAACTGGTTTGAGCAAGAGAATGTTTAGTTATTCTTTCATATTCAGTGTTTTCCCTTTGTGACATTTTTGATATATAAGGACTTTTTACATACACTCTTATTCAAAAGGAACCACTATATATTTCATTTCTTCAGCTTCTTCAAGAAACAATTTAGGAAAAGATTTACTATGGTAGATCCTGAATAGTATACAAATTTAGGTTATTACTACTTCAAGATATTTATTTGTATTAAAAAATGTGTCCTGATTTGCCACTCCATTACGAATTCTCAAGCTCAACACTTGGTCACAATTGGAACTTCCCTAACCTAGGCTTGGGCTAATCCGAGACTGGGTAGTCGGATTCAAGTTTGAAGGACCTCAAACATCTAGGACTGCTCAGGTTTCAGTGGACTCAGAGAACGTCTGAAAATAGGCTGGTCAGCAATTAGTGTGTCCATTTCACAACTGAGAAAACTGAGGCCCGCAGAAGCTAAATAAACAGATGCAGTCAGCACTCTGTGGTGACCAGACACAAACGAGGGTCTTCTGATTCTAAATTCTGTGATTTCCTCTCTTCCCTCTATATCACCTTGTGCCTTGTCAACATTCAGAATCAAGGCATTATCTTCGAAAGGCACAGGGAGGATGAGAAGGAAACAAGCCTGGTGAAATGGAATGGTCAGAAAAGCCTCTCTAGCATAGTACTACTTACGGGGTTAATTTCATGAGGAGCCTGATTTGGAAGTTCAAAAGAGGCGAGAAACTAGACAGAATGAACTGGAATGGGTGAGGTCTGTGGCGATGAGGTGGTGAGAGGCTTTAGGGCTGAGAGGCGCACAAGTCCAGAAGAGAAAGTAGGCTATATCAGGACTGAAAAACATTTTTGGATTACAAGGTTAATTTCTTTTTTGCTGTATTACAGAAAAGGGAGTCATAGAGGGAAGCTAGAAAATAAATGTGCTGCCTTATGAAGTAGGGAATTCCCTATTATAAAAAGCTCATGCCTGTCTGAATCAATCAGGGTGCAACCAGAGAAGCAGAAACAAGCACTTGTAGATGATGTATATGTGCATGCACATATGTGTGTGTATGCATATATATATACACACATACATATATACACACATACCCACATATGTACATACACACATATATAATCTCTTAGTGGTTGGTTCTGTTTCACTAATGAAAAAATGAATACATTATATAATATATATATATTTTATAACTATATATGCATTATTTATTTACTAGAGAGATTTGGCCTTACGCAATTGTGGGTGCTGGTTAAGCAGTCTGTAAGTCTGTTGTCTCACATCTGATGCTAGAGCTTGAAGCCCACTGGGCAAGCCATTAGGAAGGGAAAATGGATTTTAAAGGGGAAATTGAGAGCAGTTCAGAATCCGGAAGCATGAGCTGAAATCCCATGAGAATGAATGAGAACCTTGGTTTTTACTGCTTTGCAGCTTGATGATGTGGGTGACCTGTAGAAGCCAGAGTCCTTTGTCAAAGAGTTAAGCACACACATCTGGACATGGACATGGAGAAGCTGAAGGAGAATCCAGGGAGGGGGAAAGCAGTTACAGGCCCACATGCTGCTTCATGCTGCCAAGGTTCATCTGGATCCACAGATGAGCAACAGCATGTGAGTTACAGGATGGCTGCCACCTCCCTTCTATCCTCCTATACCTCCCAAGTCTCCCTGTGGCCTACCTAACTGAAAACATGCCAAGAAACCAGATTCTCGGTAATGTAATTCAATCTAGTCACGTTGGTATATTACAAAGCTACCATGCTATCCAGGAAGGAATATTGTAGCTGGCAGAGGGCTGACTGAGATGCTCTTTGGAGGCCCAGGAGAAGCTTAGAAACCTAGCAGGCCTTCTGACTGTTTAGCAGTGAGGTCATTTTCCAGCCAGGGAGGGCTCCTTGTGAACCCAGGGATTTAGCTGCTGTCTGTTTCTCTGCCCCTAGGAATTTTCATTTTATAAGACCAGCTATAGAGTAGGAAAGAGTCTCTTCAGCTTCTTCCTTCCTTGTTGTCAAAAAGATCAACATATCTGCCTTTTGCATTTTAAGGGTTTACAATGGTATATGTTTATTATTATGAGCAGTAATAACTGCTGACATTATAAGTCAAGACTGTGTAATGTTCCAGACCCTTTCACATGCATTATTTTGTTTAAGTCTTACAACAATACTCTATGGAAAGTATTATTGCTACCTTCATTTTCCTGATGTGAAACTGAAGCTTAAAGGGATTGATTTGCTCAATGTCAGACAGCTGTTATATCTTGGGGCAGAGATTTGAATCTAAGACATTCAGCTTTGAAAAGCAACACCACCACTGCCACCAAAAATAACAGAGAAGAAAGGGGAAATTACCACCTGGTTAAGAGCCCTCTCGAAGTTTTTACACTTGGGGCCTGGATATCTAGAATCTCCTACTTTCTTTCAAATTGGAAAATGTGTGATTCTATAAGAATGAAGAAGAAAAGTAGGGTAAGTAGATGGAATCTGAGGAAATAAAAACAAAGAGTCATATAGGAGGCACTAAAGGGAAGAACTGAAGAAGGGGGAGAAAAGAAAAAATAGCAAGAAAACATTTTTCTGTCTTGTTACCATCTTATTATCCAAATGGGAAAGGCATACTATCTCACCTATGATGGCTGCAGATGAATATAAAGATGGACAAATTAAAACAATACAATAAATGAATAACCAATAGCTCAATTATGCCAATTGAAGACTTTCAAGTAATTCTAAAAGGTAATGGCAAACAAAACAAAACAAAAAACCCACAAAAGAACACTAAAGAATGGGGACAGTTGCTTTAGCAACTATTCAGAATGCATTCTGAACCTTCTCAGGACAAGTCCCTGGGCTACTACAAGGGTGGCTAATGAGGACAGGCAGGTAGTCTACCACGTCTAGGACACAACAATAGCATGAAAGCCTTTGAAAGTCACTGAGTACATGCTGGTGCACAAAACTCTGGTTGCTGCTGGGCATGGTGGCTAATGCCTGTAATTCCAGCACTTTGGGAGACTGAGATGAGAGAATTGCTTGAACCCAAGAGTTCAAGATTACCCTGAGCCACATAGCAAGATCCTATCTCTACAAACAAATGAAAAAATTAGCTGGGTATGGTGGTGTGTGCCTGTAGTCCTAGCTACCTGGGAGGCTGAGATGGGAGGATCGCTTGAGCCCAGGAGGTTGAGGCTGCAGTGAGCCAAGATCATGCCACTGCACCCCAGCATGGGTGACAGAGCGAGACCCCATCTCAAAAAACAAAACAGAAAACAAAACCCCAAAATACTCTGGTTGCTGAAGAAATGTAACAGGCCGAGTGTGTTTCTCTCTAACCAACTGTGGCTCAGTGCTGCTGTATGCAGCTGGTCTTCTGTGGAATGTCTGCCTCGAACCCTTCTCACCCAGCACAGACTGCTCATCACTGAGGTCCAGCTCAAGTAGCACCCTTTCTCAGCACAGCATTGCTCTTCTGGGCTTATTTCTGTCTGCTCTATATGATTATAGTTTACCTCATTGAGCTCCTTGTGGGGAGGGATCGTATCCTTCTCTTTTTGACATTTACATTAATGACAGTACAAGCACCTAGGGAACACTCTGAAGTGTGGAGTCACTGTACTGCTCCATATTCTACATGCTTGTTGCCAGGGCTACTGAAGCCTGGAAGTCCTTCCTTGCAAAGGACTCTCAAAGCTCTCGTTTCTTCTTTATCTCCACTGACACTGCCCTAGTTTACTTCATCATCTCTTTCTAGGAATAGATGAATAACCTTCAAACATCGCCTCCACTACCTTCAGCAATGCATGATTTTATCAATGATGCACCTTCAAATAAATGATGTGTCTCCATTTCAAAAGCATAGGATGTTTTCCAGTTGGAGAGGTGGTAACTCCTTGGGACTCCCCCGGAGGCGAACATCCAGGGCTCCCACCTTCTCCAAGGGTAGGCTTTGCTTACTTATTTTCTTTTTCCCCAAACCATGTAAATAACGTCCCCCTAGAGAAGTCTTCAGGTCAACATTTGCTCTTCCTTCTTTGGCTTGCTGATTCACCATTCCTAACTGACCAAGCCAGGAGGATACTGCCAAGCCCCTTAACCTTAACCCAAGCAGGAACACAGACCACTGAGTTTCCTCAATGTTTAAGGATGAATACTTTTAAAACAGAATATATCAATAGGTGATAAGGATACCACATACCCAGATGTTATTTCCATCCTTCAAAGGTCTTTTGGCACATTGATCTTCTTAACAATCACAGAAGATAGATATTACTTTTTCTGCTTTATAAATCATCCAACAGAGGCTGAAAGGACTATGGTGACTTGGATAGGGCCTCACAGGGGCATAATGGCAGAGCTCAAATTAAAACATTGAAGTTCCGAGTCTAGGTAAGGCACATGTATGAGAAAGCTTTTACTCCATTGCTCTCAATGCTTACTGATTTTAAACTTCTAAGTCATCACAAATCTATATATTCTCAACCTCTGTCTATAGGCAGAATGCATTAAAGAGATTTATTAGACAGGCAATCTAGAAAAGATGACTGTTTTCAGAAGCTACTGCTCCCTAGTCCTCCTTAGGTAGAAAACCTTAATTTGTCTTCCCAAATTCACTCTACCTCAGAGAATAGCTTTGTGGATGGAAAGGCAATAATAAAAGATCAAACTCAGTCCAGCATCAAATGATCAGCCTCTTCTCTCTATTGCGGCAAATTACAGGCTTCCCCTAGGTGTAGCAGTTACTTACATGGTGAAGCTCATCTAAATAACCTGGCCATGCTATGGTGGTGGTGGGGCAGAAGGAGGAGGCGAGTGTCCCCCGACCCCAACCCCATTTCTCATTGAACTCTATTCATTAGAGGAGGCTGGGGTGCAAATCAGCTTAACATGTCAATAAGCCACCAACGAAATGCAAAAATTGACAGTTGAGGAATCCCAGCTCCCAACCTCCTCCACTATAGAAACCATCAGTAAAAAGGTTTCTCAGCCTCCTCACCAGGTCACTTAAATGAGTAATGATATTTGAGTCCCTCAGAGTAATTAATTTCCTCTGTCTCCAAAAGCTTCTCATATTTTTAATGAATTTTTACAAGTCTCAGATCCTCCAGCCTCCCCGCTCCTTCTCCAGTCCTGTTGTTCCCCAAGGTCCCATAACAAATAGCTCCCACTCATATTTGCCTTGCAAACTCACATAAACTGGAAATGATAAATATATTATCTGGGCTTTTAATGGACCATTGTTTAATTTTCTATGCTTGTCTGGCTGGAGAAGAGATGAATATTACCTTGTGGAGAATAAGATTTCTGTTCCATTTAAGGGGGGTTAGGGGTAATCTATGGCAGAAGAGCAATGCTCTGTTCATCCTAATAGGCAGTGCTGCTAATTAAAAGTGTTGGAAGGGACATCCATCCACCAGTCTGTGATTCATTCAGCATTATCCCCAGTAAACAAGAAATAGATATTGGAATGAATGCTTCTAATTTGTCAAAAGAATAGGCGTTTTCAATTGTGGATTCCTGGCTCCTGTATGAAGCACATAATTCAGGGTTGCCATCATTTAAAAGTTTAGGACGTCAAAATAACAGTACTTTCCCTTTATGCTCGTAAATCTCCAAGTCTGTTTTCCATGTTTCTGCATTTATCTTACATATTGTTTGAGTTTATTTTCCACAGTTGAGAATAGTTTCCTCTGTTGGTAAATATATTAAAATGGGCAGTGGGACAGAGGGGTGCATTTAAGAAAGAGAGCTAACATAGTTCTGTTGAAAATCAAGCCAATCTGAGATGATCTATTAGAAGTGGCTAAAACAGAGGCAGGAAAACCTAAGGATCCTGATGACATTTTCTAGGTACCTAAAGAAAAGACAAAAGAGAACCAATATTCTCTTCCTCTAACCATAAACACAAAGCCGACTAGAGAAAAGCAACCCGAAGCACCAATTCCAAAGGCTCCATGAACCCTCTGATATGTTTTAAGAAGGAATACAAAATACAAAAGCTACCACTTCGAGAGAACCCAGAGATATTTGTGGGAAATTTTCCCAAAGAGAAAGATTTTCCTTGTACCAACGATACCCAGCCAGACTCAAATATTTACCTTTGTGTTGTACAAAAGAGTTCTTCAATCATGAAGACTGAGAGTCAGGGCTCACCACCATGTCTTGCTGAGTGCTGAAAACAAACAAAACATGATATTTAAAAAAGTAAATATTAATTATTTAATGGTCTTGTTTTTCTTCTCTCTCAGTAAAGAAACATTTACTAACTTCCTCCCATACACCAGGCACTGGGAATAGAGAGATGGATAAAATAAAAATACCACTGACGAAAAAGTCAACAAATACAGACCACTGTGCGTGTTAGGCAAGAGGTAGTCACAGAATGCCTCTTAGAAGAGAATCAGGATACGTGTGTCTGTTTGTATCTGAGATACATACATATGCACATACATACATATCTACACATACACAAAAGAGTCTAAGAATTTTTAAAGAACTTCCCCACATTTTTAATTCATCTGACTTTCTAAAGGGCTTGGGCTCTTGCCTTGAGATCAGTAAACAGGCAGGCACTGGAGAAAATGTTGAGTCTTAAAAGCGATCAGACCCTTTAATCTGTAATTCAGCTTCCGGATTCCTTCTTCTTCGTCTTCTTTTTTTTAGAGACAAGGTGTCACTCTGTTGCCCACACTGAAGTGTGGAGTGCAGTGGCGGAATCATGGCTCACTGCAGCCTCAACCTCCTAGGCTTACGTGATCCTCCTGCCTCAGTCTCTTGAGTAGCTGAGGCTACAGGTGTGCCACCACGCCTGGCTAATTTTTGCATTTTTTTATAGAGACAAGATTTCACCATGTTGCCCAGGCTGGCTGGGTTCCTTCTTGAGGAAACAATTATGAATGCAGACCGGTATTTACGTACAGGGATATTCATCATAGGGTTATTTGTAAGAGGGAAACACCAAATAGAGGAATAAAAAAAATTGGTATTTCTGCATAGAAGAATAATATGTAAATATAAAAATAATTTTTTAAATGTTCACTATACAGAAAATATATTTTGTATAACAAAATTGTTGATAAAGTTTAAGCTCATCCACGGGTTGGTCCTCAGAAATAACAGTGGTCATCTTTGTAGTATGATTGTAGGTTATTTTTCTCTTGTTTCTTTATGCTTTCCAAATTTTCTACAGAGAGCATGCATTATTTTTCCAGACAGTAAAGAAGCAAACAGAAGTTTCAGCTCCAATATCACAATTCCTGTACCACTTTTCTCAATTAGTTGGGGACTCCCTATTCCCCAGCAATACCTCCATTCTGAAGATAACACTGCACTGGAATTATCCATTTCCATCTCTGCCTCCCCTGTTTGTGAGTGCCTCTGATGACGTTTTTATGCCTTATTAAACTTTGCTTCCCCTGAACCTAGTCAGAGACTGGCACAATTGTCATTCCATCAATGTTTGCTGCCTAAGGGAGGAATGAGTGTGTGAATGAAGGAACAAAAGAATTAATTAATGAAATGGACCTGACAAAAATTATATTAAGAAAATTGTTCATTCAAAATAATCAGTGACAATAAAAAGTGATGTTCCATTTGGATTCATAAAAGATACAAGAAGATGGAAAGCAGGGAGGCAGCAATTTTTCAGAGCAGTCAGTAAAACAAAAAAAAAAAGATCTTATGGTTAAAAATATACACACACACAAAGTCAATATAATAAAATATCACAGCCTAGTGATTTTCCAATGTATTCCAAGACCAAGAATCTGTTTAAGGCAGGAATATTTATCTAGTAACAATATCCCATTATAACAACTCAGTTATTTTACACATTTGGAGTTACATATATATAAACTAAGTAGAGATTTGTTACTAGTTTTAATCAGAAATGAATGGTCGACTCCCTGTTCAAGGGAAAAAAAGTTACAGGATAGATTATTGTAGTGCTTTTTAGAAATTCAATTTAGTCTACTCATAAAACTAGTGATATATAGCCAGGATATTAATATACAGTTATATTTTTCTGGAGGTAGACCTGGTTTAAATCCCATTTTTGTCCTTTAAGAGTTAGGTAACTTTGAACAATTTATTTGACCTCTCTAAGCCTCAGTTTTCTTATATATAAAGTGGGATAATAAGTCTAACCTGACGGGTTTATTGTAGAAAACAAACAAAAAAAAAATGACAGAAAGCCTGGAATTCAAAACAGGCTTAAAGTTCATGTCTTTTTACATAAAGACCTGGAGCTCTTAAACACACATCAATCTTCCTTTATATTATATGCCATAAAGTATGCTAAGCAATATACAAATATTTTCTCATTTAATCCTCCTCATATTTGTTGTTAGTGAAACCATCTTTGCAAAAATCATATCAGTGCGAAAATTACGGCAGTGAGGGTGATCTGACCTGACCAAATCTCTTCTTGCCTTTAGTCTTCAAGCTGCCCTTCATTATTTCTGGGCTTAAACCAAGGTAACTTTGGGAGAAATTTAATTTATAGTTTAAATGATAATAGCCTTCCCAAAACCCAACCACCTTTGTAAAGCTAATGAGAAACCAGAAGGCTAGGAGGATAGAGAAACCTGAATTTTGCTAAGGTGTAGACAAATAATTGCCAGCTATTATTCAAAGTTCACAACATATGCAATTTCCCCAGTTACTCCTGCAGATAACATCACTATTGCAGAACCTAAGATTGGCCTTTTGAAATATCTTTTCAGGTTTTTTGCACGTCTGATGACCTATGGCTCCACCTGGACCCAACAACCATGCCTGTGACCTCACCTGTGACCAGCACTACAGAAGGACCATTTCTCACACCCATATGATTGCACCCCCAATCAATCAGCAGCAAACACCCATTGCTCTATCCACTCCCACCCCTTCCCCCAAACTACCTTTGAAAAATCCTGCCCCAAAATGCTCTAGCAGGCTGATTTGAGTCAGAATAAAATACCAGTCTTCCGTTAGCTGGCTCTACGTGTAAAAATCTCTCTATTGCAATTCCCCTGCCTTGATAAATTGGCTTCATCTGGGCAGCATGCAAGAATGTAATCATTGGGTGGTTACATTAGGAGGTCCTGTTTTCTACTTTATAATCCTTCTGATTTCTGTAAAATTGGAAGAAACGTCCCCTCTTTCATTTCTTATTTTAGTTATTTAATTCTTCTCTCATTTTTTCTTAATGTAGCTAAAGATTTGTAAATTTTGATCTTTTTAAAGAACCAACTCTGTTTCATTTATTTTCTCTGTTGCTTTTGCATTCTCCATTTTATCTTATGTTTCCACTTTAAATAAGAGAAAATTGATGCTCACTATTAAACACTTAATGAGTGTCTGAGCCAAGATTCAAACCCAGAATGTCTGGTTCCAAAGCCTAATCTCATTAACTATTATGAAAAGAAGGCACTGAATCTGGGTTTGGACACAGGCTCTGACTCACACAAAGTTCAGTTTACAATTTTACCTTGTTGCATTTTATTATTTGGAATGCAAAGACTTGAATTTTATTCCCTCTTAAGTCACACTTAAGTGCCTCCTACTTATTTTCTTATTAAATATTTCAAGCATGAACCTGAATATAGACATAATTATAACAAAAACTTATGTACTGATACCAGCTTGGTCAGATATTATCATTCTGTCATATTTGTTTCAGACCTTTTTTAATATAAAACATTGTAGAAATAAGCAAACCCTCCCATGAATTTCTTCCCAATTCCACAAAGATAACGACTCTCCTAAATTTCCATACATATTTTTCTGTTCTAATACATAGTTGTATTCATAAACAATATATGTTACTGGTTTGCATGTTTTAAAACTTTGTTTAGATGGTATCCTAACGTAGGTATCCATTTAAAGCCTATTTTTTCTAATATTATATTTTCAAGATTTTGTCCATTAGACATAATTTTTTTAACATGTAGATAGTATTTTATCACGTGTTTATATTTTAGCCTAATGATCCATATTTGATGCATATTTGGGCAGTTTCCAAATTTTGCTAACACAAATAATGTTGCAATGGACAATGTATACTCCTTGGGTACCTATGTGTGAGATTTATCAGTGGACTTGCTGTGCCATAGAGTACATGCATCTTCAGAATTATTACATTATTATTTTTTTTTTGAGATGGAGTCTCGCTCTGCCACCCAGGCTGCAGTGAAGTGGCACTATCTCTGCTCACTGCAACCTCTGCCTCCCCAGCTCAAGCAACTCTCCTGCCTCAGCCTCCCCAGTAGCTGGGAATACAGGAGCCCACCACCACGATCGGCTAATTTTTGTATTTTTAGTAGAGACGGGGTTCGCCATGTTGGCCAGGCTGGTCTCAACTCCTGACCTCAAGTGATCCACCTTCCTCGGCCTCCCAATGTGCTGGGATTACAGGCCTGAGCCACTGTGCCCGGCCTATTAGATATTGCTCTACAAAGTGACAGCAGCATTTATACCAATCTGGCGTTAGTTCACACTGTTACCAGCATTTGGTATTGTCAGATCAGATTTAAACATTTTTCCAATTTGATAGATATAAAATATCTTATTGTGTTTTAGCATGTATTTCTCTACATGCTAAAATACAATAGTGAGATAGAACATTCTTTTGTAGTTTATTTAATTGGCCATTTAGGTTTTCCCTTCAGTGATTTGCTTTTTCATATGTCCATTTTTCTATTGGGTTGTTATAGAAGGGAGACAACACACACCAAAAATAAATAAATAAATAAACATTAAAGAGAGAGTAAAACACCTAGTATGTCAGATGGTCACATGTGCCATGGAAAAACTGGAAGCAGAAAAGGGAAAAAAAGAGTGCTGAGGATGGGAGTTCCATTTTAAAGGAGGTAGTTAGGGAAGACCTCACCAGAAGGCGACATTTAGTAAAGTCCTAAAACAGGTGTGGTCACAAGTTATAGGAAGAGGACCCTAAGTAGAGGAAAGATCAAAATGGTAAAGTGATAATATTTGACTAAGATATGTGGTGGTATATAGGGGTTTGTTATAATTATGTTCTATACTAAATTTGTTTGCTTTCAATACCAACTCTTATGTGGGTATATATGTTGAAAATATTTTTCCTATGTGAACATTTTGTTTAAAATGACATATTAAACTTCTAAAATTTTAATGTAATGAAATATATTTAACTCTTCTCTCATTTTTTCTTAATCTAGCTAAAGATTTGTAAATTTTGCTCTTTTTAAATAACTAACTGTTTCATTTATTTTCTCTGTTGCTTTTGCATTCTCTATTTTTTATCTTACGTTTCCACTTAAGAAAGAGAAAATTGATGCTCAGTATTAAACACTTAATTTCCCTTTACGGTAAGTGCTTCCTTTGGTTTTACTCAATAAATCCTTTCCTACACCTGAGTCATAAAGACCTATAATTACTTCTAATATTTTTAAAGTTATGCTGTTGGTACTATTTATATAATATAAAGTCAGAATTAAGTAACCTTTCTGTATAGCTATGCTTTGTCCTGGTACCATTTATTTCTCATTTCATCATTTCTACTCTGAAATAATGCATCTGTGATGACAAAGTTTCTACTACACACAGTCTGTTTTGGGGCTGTATATTTTGTTCCACTAGTTTTCTATTCCTGTGCAAGTATTCATGCTATCTTAATTACTATAATTTTATCCCAAATTTTCATAACCAATAAGGCATATCCATCCATCCATCAATCAACTATCCATACATCCATCAACCAACTATCTACATATCCGTCCATCCATCCATTCATCCGTCCATCCAACTGTCCATCCATCCATCTATCCAACCACTCATCATACATCCAACCCATCCATCTATTCATTCTCCACCCTACATACTTCATCATCAATCATCCATCCATCTAACCATCCATCATCCATCCATCCATTCATCCTCCACTCTCCAGTCTTCATCATCAATCATCCATCCGTCCAACCTTCATCATTCATACATCCACCCATCTATCCTTCCATCCACCCATACATCATTATACTTCATAAATATTTGTTGACAGTCTAACTGTACCAAACACTGATTTGAACACTGGGGATTTAATAACAAACTAGACTTACATTCCTACCCTTACGGAACTTGCATTCCAGGGGACAGAGAAAGACAATAAACAACTAAATAATTGAATATAGAGTGTGTCAGATGGCGATAAGTGCCACGGAGAAACATGAAACAGGGAAAGGGGATCTGGCACACGTTAGTGGCTGAAATAATACACAAACTACAAATATAGTGGAACAAAAAGTAACTTTTGTAAAATATACAATAGAAATTTAGAGTTTGGAGAAAAATTTAAAATGCTCATATTTGGGATCTAGCATTGTTTAACAACTTTTGTTGAAGAACCTCTACCCCTAATGAGGTAAAAAATTTAACCAGTTCTTTCCAAGCTGTGACTACATAGGAAAGTCTGTTTTCAATGGTCTGAATGTTTGTGACTCTCCACCCCTGCTAAATTCATATACTGAAATTGGAACCCCCAATATGACGGTCTTAGGAGGTGGGGACTTTAGGAGGTGATTAGGTCATGAGGGTGGAGCCTTCATGAATGGAATTAGTGCCCTTATACAAGGTACTACAGAGAGTTCTCTCACTCTTTTTCTGCTGTGTGAGGATACAAGAAGTTGGCTGTCGGAAACCCAGAAGTGGGCCCTCACCAGAACCCAGCCATGGTGCCACCCTGGTCTCAGACTTCCAGCCTCCAGAACTGTGAGAGGTAAGTGCTGTTGTTTAAGCCATGATATTCTGTTCCAGCTGCCTGAACTGCCTAAGACACTATTTTAGTCACCTCAAGGAGAGGTCTGAGTACACACACATTCTATTAGGTTGGTGCAAAAGTAATTGTGTGTGTGTGTGTGTTTTTGTGCTCGCTTTGGCAACACATATACTAAAAGAGTAATTGTGGTTTTTGTAATTATGTTTCATGGCAATAACTGCAATTAGGTTTGCAACAACCTAATATTTGGTCTTTTATTGTGATCTTACACATGACATAGGTCTTGGACCAGAATGTGACTGCAGTTTGTTAGCTGAGAGGGTCTGGAAGCCTAGAAAAGTTTCTGCTTCTAGATCTTGGAATAAGCCCAAAGTTCTCAAGCACAGCTCCCAAAAAACCACAGAAATAAGCTGTTCATAGGTACTACAGAGTAAACGTTTTAATAAGCACTATGTTTGCTATCTTTCCAATCACAGAGTAAAAAAAGACAATAGATAGTTGCTTTTTATTTGTTTGTTTTACCCTAGTTTTTACATCTTTGTTGGTTTTGATTACTACTTTCTATGAAAATTTAGTATATTTTCTTAATAACATGTGAGCTCTGTGTGATTCTGGACAAGTTATTTCCCCTTTCTAAAGTTTAGTTTCCTCCTTTAAAATGGGAGTGTATATAATTGCAGGTTTGTTGTAACATTAAGTACTACTTTGAAAGACCTTAGTATACTGACTAGTGTGTGATAGGCATGGAATGAATGGCAGGCCTTATAATTAGGCTTATTATACAAACAATTATATGTATTTGCAAAAGATCTCCAAGACATCTCCATGCTCTGGCACCTGCCTGGGCTTAGAACCCCAGCATCTCTGAGGCCTGGTCCTGTCTGAGCCACATAGAGAGTGAGTGTATAAATTAAGACCACAAATCTCAATTCTGGCCCTACCACTTAATAATCATCAACACATGAGGACTGCCTGTGTCCCAATGAGAGCCACCATATGTAAACAGCATCATATTAGGGTTACCTCATCTGCACATCCCCAAGAACTCTACAGCTGTTGGATGAGGGTAGCAGAGCCAGCATGTACACAAATTATATCTAATATTCTAATTTGCATACATTCAATCATAGCAAAGGTGTGAGCAGTAAAACCCCTAGGGGAACCAATCACAGTACGGAGTTCCCCATTGCAGAATGTGAGGATCCTGAGCTTTCTTAGCTCCCATTGCAGGGTGTCACTGACCCTCCTCCTTTCTAATGTTCCAGCCAGTTCCCAGACAGAGATTTGGAACTTGATTTGACAAGAACAGTCATGTTGCATCTAATCTGCAGTGACAATTTAGCAGCAGACAGGACAGTGACAGCATTCATATCTGCAAGGCAGCTAGTAGACAAGTGGAGGCATCTAGAAGTTAGTTTGACATCTAGATGAAATTATTCTAACTTCAGAACTTTAGAATATGGAGACCCTTTACCTCCACCCCAAAAGAATACGTTCATGTGTGTAGTGGCATTAGTAAGTAAGAAAATTTAATCAAGAGAAGTTCAAAACTTTTATGTTAGATCCTCCTTTGCTATGTTGAATCACTCTATAATAAATATGAATAACTGAAAAAAGTTGTCTCTGGTTGGGTTCTGCTGATTACATCAAAGACAGCAGATGAATATAATATAGTTCATAAATCTTCGACCCCTAGTAGCTTTGACAGATTGATTCATTTACCAAGTCATCCATCCATCCTTCCTTTTCTTCAACAAATGTTTACTGAGCCCCTCTTATATTCCAGACATGGTTCTAGACCTTGGTGACATACTAGTGTTCATGGTCAAATGAGTACAGAGAAGTAAACAATGACAAGGATAGAGATAAGTACTGGCTGTTATGAGAACACACATGGGGCCACCTTGGAGGAAAGCCCACGTACACCAAACACAACTTTGGTACTATTTCCCTATTTGTTCCAATGACTCTGTGTTTTCCAGAACTTCTTCTACCCCTGCTTCTATGTCTTGCAATGTCCCAGTGTCTATCGTTTTTGAATTGATTTCCTTGTACTGCTCCTTGCTTTGCAATTTTGTTCTTTTTTTTTTTTTTTTTGAGATGGAGTCTCACTGTCGCCCAGGCTGGAGTGCAGTGGCGTGATTTCTGCTCACTGCAAGCTCCGCCTCCCGGGTTCACGCCATTCTCCTGTCTCAGCCTCTGGAGTAGCTGGGACTACAGGCGCCCACCACCATGCCCGGCTAATTTTTTGTATTTTTAGTAGAGACGGGGTTTCACCATGTTAGCCAGGATGGTCTCGATCTCCTGACCTTGTGATCCACCCACCTCGGCCTCCCAAAGTTTCTTATTTTTTTGAGACACAATCTTGATCTATCACCCAGGCTGGAGTACAATGGCATGATCTCAGCTCACTGCAACCTCCTCCTCCCAGGTTCAGACAATTCTCATGACTCAGCCTCCCGAGTAGCTGGGATTACAAGCATATGTCACCACGCCCAGCTAATTTTCTTTCTGTATTTTTTTAGTAGAGATGAGGTTTTGCCATGTTGGCTAGGCTGGTCTCCAACTCCTGGCCCCAAGCAGATAACCTCTGCCTTCCAAAGTGCTGGGATTACAGGCGTGTGCCCCTGCGCCCAGCCTCTTTGCTTTGCTCTTAATATTGGTAGACTATGGACCTCTCAGTTGTGACTTCCAATGCTTCTATGCAGAGTTTTCCCCATTCTCTGGAAATTCTCATTTTAGGAACCTTACTTCTGTTCCCTGGGAACCCCAGTCCCATCCCTTTAAGCAATATGAAACACCCTGTCTGTGGATCAAATTCCAGGGAGACTTCTGGGCAAAAATTCTTTTGCCCCATGACCTGATATCTTTGGTCATGCCTCCTGGAGGCACAAGTCCCCACCACAGGGCCGCCTACCACATGTATCTGATGGCTGAAATTAAGGGCAGCAGGGCAGAAAGCGGATCTGCTGACACCACAGTTAGACAAGCTTGCACCAAGGCTGTAAAACACCCTTGGCAGAGCACACCAGTAAGTTGTCCTACTAATTAGTTTATTATTTCATTTGAGAGATCAAATACATAAATAAAATTAATAAACCCTGCAAAATACGTGCAGCACTGGAAATAAAAGTACTTCTCAGGTCATTGCATTAAACACAGATATTACATGCTAGAATAATGTTAACGCAAGGAAAGCAAATCATGCTGCCTTATAGGCCGGAACGTACCAGGAGCAGCTGGGGTTTGTGGAGTGGTTGACAAGCTTTGGGATAGGTCAGGAAACATGAATGGTGTTCTCTACTCTGTCATTACTTGCTATGTGACCTTGAACAAGTCACTTTCCTCCCCTTCCCTGACCAGTGTGCTCATTTACTCATGAGTAAAATAAGGAGTTTTGACTATTACTAAGGTTTCCCCCAGCTAGGAATTTCATGGCTA
The DNA here is from genome assembly GCF_000001405.40 of Homo sapiens. Lineage (NCBI taxonomy): Eukaryota > Metazoa > Chordata > Mammalia > Primates > Hominidae > Homo > Homo sapiens. The sequence continues at coordinate 57,659,668 of NC_000001.11, forward strand.
TAAAAATCAAATGAAAAAAAGATGGGGGCTGGGTGTGGTGGCTCACATCTGTAATCCCCAGCACTTTGGGAGGCTGAGGTGGGCAGATGGCTTGAGGTCAGGAGTTCAAGACCAGCCTGACCAACATGGTGAAACCCCATCTCTACTAAAAATACAAAAATTAGCCAGGCTTGGTGGCACACCCCTGTAATCCCAGCTACTCAGGAGGCTGAGGCACAATAATCGCTTGAATCTGGGTGGCAGAGGTTGCAGTCAGCAGAGATCACCCTACTGCTCTTCAGCCTGGTCAACAGAGCAAGGCTCTCTCTCAAAAATAAATAAATAAATAAATAAATAAATAAATAAATAAATAAGATGAAAAGATAGATACTGATAATTATAAGCTTAGTTAATAAAGAACACATAATAAAAATGAAATAAAATCTGAGAATGCATTACAATATTCCAGTATGGATTTAAGAACTTGGAAAGATATTAGATAATATCTAACCCAATACTCAGCAAATAAAATGAAGGGAAAAGGAGACTGAGTTTGCATTCATGGAGAGCCTCCTATATTCTAAGAACTATGCTAAGGACTTTCTTGTATTAACCCCAATAAATAAGCTCACAGAGCAAATAAATCATGACCAAATCCACACAGAGAACAGCAAAAGTAGGTTTTCTACTCTTAGTCAAAGGCTCTTCCACCAAGCTGTGTCTGATCAGCCGGCCTCTTCTTGGGGCCCCAGGCACAGGTTGCTCTCAGCCACCACTAGCACTTACGGAACTCTTGAGAGATACCAAGGGTAGTGGGCCCTGTGTTGTAAACCTTTTGTATACCATTCACACAAGTACAGATGGCAAAAGGAGTAGTGCAGGCAAGATGGAGAGATCAGCCTAGGTGATTGCTCCCAGGTGCCTAAAGACATGCTGCGTGACAGATTCTCCCTTTACACTGAAACACTCACTCTGCTGAGGCTGGGAGGGCTGCCCTCTGACAGCTTGCAGCTGAGAACTTGCTCCCCTAATGTCCTTGGCTGAGGAGCACCTCCTCTCCCAGGAGAACAGCCACTTTGCTGGGGCCACCCAGTATTCAATGACTGACAGCAAAGGGGGAGGATATAAAATCTTGGCCTCCTTGCTTCAATTTGGCACAACTCTGCAGGTCATCTCAGCTTCAGAGCTTCCCACGGAATTGATTGAGGCCTTTACTGTGACTGCATCACTGTTTAGCTTCCCACTCTGACTGGCCCTGACACCCTTACTCCCTAGTAAACTTTCCACATGCAAACGTGTCTCAAAGCGGGCTTCCTGGGAAAGTGAATTTGCAATGATGTGAAACCTTGAAAAAGTAAGATACAAACGAATAATTCAACTCAAGTAAAGAAATAGAAAACAATGGTGCATTTGTAGAGACTAAGAAACTTGCAAACAAATCTTATTCCTTGTGATGAGACTTCTGGCCTTGGATAGTCTGGGGGAAAAAAAAAAGGTACTAGTGAAGAAATTTTCTCACTGTGTCTAAAACTGCCCCCTGCTAGAGAAGATTGAGTTCTAAAGGCTCAGTTAAGGCAGGGAGGCAGATTGTTACAGTGCAGGCACTGTAGTGTAGTGGAAAGGATAGGAGCTGTGGCTCCAGATGGAGCTGCAGTCATAGGTTGGCTCTTTCTGTGTAATCTTGACTATTATACTGAACCTCACCAGCCTCGGTGTCCTTAACTATAAAATGGGGATGATTCCTAACTTGCATGACTATTGTGACACTCGGTTACCTTCTTGACACCAGAATCTTTCTCTAGAATTATTCCCAGAGATAAATGCTGCAACTTTACAGGATAATGATTTCACCCAAGGGGTCTTTGAATCTCTCTTGTGCAGCCCTTAGCTTGTCTTGGAAGTCACTAGAAGATAGTGTACAGTTGTCCCTTGGTATCTGCAGGGCACTGGTTCCAGGAACCCCCCATACCAAAATCCATGGATGCTGAAGTCCCTTATATAAAATGGAGTATTACTTACATATAACCTACACACATCCTCCCATACACTTTAAATAATCTGTAGATTACTTATAATATTAATACCTAATACAATATAAATCCTATGTAAATAGTTATGTTGTATTTTAAAATTTGTATTTTTATTGTTGTATTGTTATTTTTATTTTTTTAAAAAACATATTTTTGATTCGTGGTTGGTGGGACCTGCAGTTAGTAGAACTGGTGGATGTGGAGGGCTGATGCAGTGGGCTTCTGATGGAGGGTAATAATGAAAGGAATGGTCCTAGTGAGTTTTGGCCTCAGGAATAAAAGGAATGTTGGGACTTGAGGGTGACCGTAAAGATAAAATATCCTGAGGTCTGGAGATCCAGCTTCTCAATTGCCATAGCCCAGGAACTAAACGCCAAGAAGACAATCAGAGATTCCTGGCTGCTCAGGGTTTGCTATTAAGTTCTCTCCCCTTCCTCCACTTTTTTTGGGTAAAGAAAAATAGCTCTATTAGCTACAAAAGCTCTGTCTAGAGAATGTTGTTCTTTGTTTGTTTGTTTGTTTGTTTGTTTGTTTTTGAGACAGAGTTTAGCTCTTGTTGCCCAGGCTGGCGTGCAATGGCGCGATCTCGGCTCACCGCAACCTCCACCTCCCGGGTTCAAGTGATTCTCCTGCCTCAGCCTTCCTTTGTAGCTGGAATTACAGGTATGCGCCACCACGCCCGGCTAATTTTGTATTTTTAGTAGAGATGGGGTTTCTCCATGTTGGTCAGGCTGGTCTCGAACTCCCGACCTCAGGTGATCCGCCCATCTCCACCTCCCAAAGTGATGGGATTACAGGCGTGAGCCACCACGCCTGGCCTGGAGATTGTTATATCACTCGTTCATTTGGTGCCTGCATAGGCAGGACAATGAGACAACCACTTTTTAGAATCATGTGTAAAGCATTATGGGAGCACAGGGAAAAGCACATTTAGCATTAGGCCAGACCTGGGCAAAAAATGAGATAGCTTCTTAAGGAGGTGATGCTTGAGCTGAATCTCATCTAGGCTCTTAGATGAGAAAGAGATTAGTATAGTCCAGATAGGCAAGGGAATAGTGCGGGTCAGATGGAGAGACCAGCTCAAGTGCTTGCCTCCAGCAGTCAAAGGACATGGTATGTGGACAGATCACCTATGGGAAATGCAATAATAGCTGGGGGAAAATCATTTGATATTCATTCTGACTACTGACATTCCAAATTCTTTCTGTTTTTCCTCTACCAATATTTTAGCATCATTCTGCAATTTGGACTACCATGTTTGATACTGAATTCAACCCACCTAAGCATTTGAAGAAAATTTCACTTTCTCTTAAAGGTGGTGTATTAGTGCATTCTCACATTGCTATAAAGAACTATCTGAGACTGGGTAATTTATAAAGAAAAGAGGTTTAATTGACTCACAGTTCCACAGGCTGTACAGGAAGCATGGTTAGGGAAGCTTCAGAAAACTTGCAATCATGACTGAAGGCGAAGGAGAAGCAGCCATTCTTATATGGCCAGAGAAGAAGGAAGAGAGAGAAGGGGGAGGTGCCACACACTTTCAAATAACCAGATCTCAGGCAAACTCACTCACAATCATGAGAACAGTGAGGGGGAAGTCCACCCCATGATCCAATCACCTCCTACCAGGCCCCTCCTCCAACATTGGAGATTACAATTTGACGTGAGATTTTGGCGGGGACACAAACCCAAACCACATCAGGTGGGTACATAGAAGCTTAGAAGGAAGAAGGAATTTGTCCAAAGTTATACATTAGTAAAAGGTTAAGATGGGAGTCAAAGGATTTCTGGCCTCAGATCATCACTTTTTCTATCGAGCATTGGTAACCTGAACAGGTATGACTTGATGTTTCTTGTGTCTCACTGCACTGTACAATACTTTACTTTGTTAATTACAAATTTTAAATTGTCTGCGGTAATGAGAGTTGAACATCTTTCCCTCCCAATATTTTCTTATTTTTTTTTTTAAAAACCACAACCCATTGCTCAATGTTGAATAATAGGCATATTAAGATATATCTCAGGCTTAATAATCACCACTGGGGTTAATTTATATTATTTTATAGTATGCATGTGACGGATCCTTATTAATATTACATTCTTCTGGTTGGGATGAAATGAACAATTTTAAAATGGCCTAATTAAAATAAACAGGAACTGAGAGAGACCAAAGGCTGTAACTAGAACTTGTGTTCAGTTCTCTAAAATCAATTGTAATGTAAATGCAAATGCAAGCGAAAGTTGATAGAATAGCATGTGTAGGACCAAAACTCATGCTGAAGTCTTAGGGTTTATAAGCAGGCAACATGGAGGTAAAAACTGAGCTCTTTTGGAATGAAACAGATCTCAGTTCTGCAACTTCACTGCTGTGTGACCTAGGACAAACCCTCAACTGTTCTGAAGCTGTTTCCTCTTCCACTAAATGAGGCTGTTCTTGAATTAAATGGGGGAAAAAAAAGGATGTTGGCAAGGGTTTGGTACATGTAAGCATTTGGTAGATATATTATTAGTTCTCTGAGCCACTGCCTCCACATCTTTACTGGATCTGGAAAATACCACTTTGTGAGACCAAAGACCAACTTGATGTAGACAAAGCAAATAAGGGATTTTTCAAACTCAATTTCCTCTAGTACATTTAGGAATAAAGATATATTAATATATTCAAGTAACTCTTAGATTTGTAAATTGTGAGATATCTGCTCTGGAAATTTGAATGCTTGGCACATTGCATATTTATTTATCTTTCTTTTCCAATACATGTATAGCTAGGTAAATTGCTCCTTTTAAATTATTTCAAGTATTATGTAAACAGTTACAACTTTATGTCAACATAAACCCAATGCCATAAACTTAAGAAATAGGTTTGAAGGACAATTTGATAATATGTAATAAAAACATTAAAATTTGCTTAAGCCTACTTTTAGGGAACTTCATCCTAAGGAAATAATTTAATAATTATGGATGTGTCCAAAGATTCACCATAAAGCTATCTATACATCCTTATTACAGTAAATGTTAGAAATAAAGAGATTCAGTAACAGTGGTCTGGATAAATAAATTTGTATCTATAATATAAAGCCATTAAGTGATAATAAAGAACATTTAATGCCATTAGAATGTTTTCTTAACATTTTAAGCAGAAAAAAATAGGACAGTAGAATGCATAATGATGAGCCTACTTTTGTAAAAAGTACTTAAGTATGTAAGAAAAAGATGAAAGAAAATACATCAAATGTTGTGAACAGTTACCACTGAATACTAAGAATGGGACAATTTTATTTTCTTCTTTTTGCTTATTTGTAATTTCTAAAATTTCTACCATATTTATTATTACTTTAGAGGATACTAACCTTCTAAAATTTAAATTAAAACCTACGCCATAAACAATATGAAAACCCAAACATCATTCTGAAAAAGCATATTTGTATAAAAATATTTGACAAATGCAATGCTTCTTCTATAAAAAGTTAAGTAAATTGACAAGAATAATATTTTGATACCTCAATATAAATGAATAAAAGATATAAATAAAACACTTAATACAATGAATAAACAAGCCTGTGGAAGTAGTCAAGTTTGGAAGCAACCAAATACATGAAAATTAACAAAATTTGGTGGCTTTTTAAAACCTATTAAGTTAGCATAGTTTAAATAAAAAGGGACAACTACTTAATAGTGCTAGTAGGGAGATAAGTATGCTTTTGCTACATTATAGGTAGAAGTTTAAAGTGGTACAATATTTTTATGAAATACATAAGCAATGTGTATCAACAGCCCTAAATAAGTATTTGCAACTGTTGACTGACTAAATAATTTTACTTTTGGGAAATTGTGAATAGAGCAATCTCTAAATACAGAATCCATATTGTGAACAAAAATGTTCAGTGTAAGATTATTTATGACAGGATAATTGGAAACAACTTAAATGCCTATTTGTAGGGGAGATAGTGACATTTTCATTTCAGAATGGTATGTAGCTATTACAGCAGTATTTAAGGATGCTTTATAGTTAAATAAAATGTATGTGGTATTTTAAGTGAAAAAGCATGATGAATATGTGTGTACACTCAAACACACCCACACATATACATACACATATTCACAAATAAATACATGTGTTGTTTTTGGGTTACAGGATTGGTTTTTTTTTTCTTCCCTTTTTTTTTAATTATCTGTGTGTGTGTGTGTGTGTGTGTGTGTGTGTGTGTTTGCGTGTGCATGTGTGTGTTTTTCAAATTTCCTTTAATGAGTACAGGTTAGTTTTTCAATGTTGAAAACTCCCTTTATGAAATAAAAATAGACAACTTTTTGATATTCTTCTGCCCTTAGGAAAGTCTAGAGGAGCTAGCATTTAACATAGAGATAGCTAAAGGAATATTTGCCCATTTAACTGTCTAAGTTAAAAAAGTTGCTAGAGGAAAAACAAAGCAATAGAAGTTAGAGGAAGTTTCCAATCAATTTAAAGTCTGGTAAGTATCTTAAATCAATTTTATGAGGAGCACATTCAGCTGTAGAAAACCATGCAAGGAAATAAGAAGATAAATGATATTTCTTTATCTTTTAAATGTGTGCTTAGGGAAAAAAGGACGAGGGTGACCATAATGAACAGAAAAGACATTAGAATAGAATATCAAAGCAGGCACACATAATACAATTCATTAATGTTCTTCCCTCAACTAATTTAGATTTTTACAACAAATTGGGGCCAAATGGATGGGGCCAACAGAGTTGGAACTGGCCATGGAGCTTCCTAGGAAATAGACTTTGGCTTGGATGCTTGTTTCCTGAGCAACAAAAGGTGAGAGAGATATGCAGGTGGGTCAGTGGTACTTAGAAAATGTTTGTGCAACCAGTAGTCACTAATTCAATCTCTTCATGTCAGAAAATTGCAACTGCATTCTACAGGTTACTCAGGCCAAAAAATTTTGAATCATGTTTGACTGTTTCTTTTTTGATTTAAATCTCACTTCTAATCAATCAGTATTGGCTCCACCTTGAAAACACATTCATAGTCCAACCACTTCTCACCATTTCTCATGCTGTGACTCTATTCTCAACTACCATCATCTTTCACCTTGATTATTGCAATAGCGTGCTTAGCAGTTTCCTGCAACTTATCATTCTCCTTCAGCATATTCTCAACAATGCAGCTAGGGTAATTTTTAATTAAAAGGAGGGAGAGGGAGAGGGAGAGGGAGGGGGAAGGGGAGAGGGAAGGGGAGGGGGAGAGAGAGAGGGAGAGGGAGAGGGCTTATGCCATTGTTTTCCATCATGGCTAGAAAACGCCTACCTTGATCCAGTTTCTGGCTACCTCCCTAACTTCATGTCCCACCATCCTTCTCCTTGCTCAATATGCTCTTCCTACTACTTGCTCCCTTACTGTTCCTACAACATACTAGGTACTCTTCTAGACACTCTTCCTGCCTTAGAGTTTTTGCATTGGGTATTCCATCTAATCACAAACAAATTCTTCCAGATAGTGTGTGGCTTGCTCCCTCACTGTGTTGAAATCTTTGCTAAAATGATCTTCATTATTGGAGGATCTTCCCTGATTACCTTATGAAAGATTGCAGCCCACATTTCCAGCAGTTTTGCATAGCTTCAACAAATGTATTCAGACCACAGTCAATGTCAATTGTGTCCACTGGAGTTGGGCAGTGTGCAGACTGAGTTGACAGACACAGTAGCCCTGTCTGTCACCATCTCTCCTCCTGTGTTCTTCTTTTTCAGAGTGCTTAATAATATCTGACATATTTTTTAGTTAATTATTTGTTTATTGTTTCTCTCATCCCATCCCTACTATAATGAAACCTTCAGCAGAGCAGTCATTTTCTATGTTTTGTGTACTGCCATGTCTCCAGAGACCACACCTGTCTTGTCATAGATACTTAGTAAATATTTACTGAGAAAATGTAGGAATGACCACAGCAGAGTAGTGCTATCCTGTATAGTAGCCACTAGCTACATACGATTTTTGGGCATTGAAATATGGCTAGTGTGCATGGAATACTATATAGCCATAAAAAAGAATGAGATCATGTCCTTTGCAAGGACATGGATGAAGCTGGAAACCATCATTCTCAGTAAACTAACACAGGAACAGAAAACTAAACGCTGCATATCCTCACTCATAAGTGAGAATTGAACAATGAGAACACATGGACACGGGGAGGGTAACAACACACACTGGGGCCTGTCAGGGGTTGGAGAGCAAGGGGAGGGAGAGCATTAGGACAAATACCTCATGCATGTGGGGCTTAAAACCTAGATGATGAGTTGACAGGTGCAGCAAACCACCATGTCACATGTATACCTACACGTTCTGCACATGTATCCCAGAACTTAAAGTAAAATTTAAAAAAAAATTTTTAAAAAGAAATATGGCTAGTGTGGCTGAGGAACTGAATTTTTTACTTTTAATTTTAATTAAAATTAAAATTTGAAAGTGGAATTAGCGTTCAATATTGTGTCACTAAACTCAGCTTTATGGTTTTTACAGAACTACATTTCACTTTAACCACTACATTTTATAAGATATTATTTAAATTAATGTACTTTTTACTTTTTTAATGTGATACTAAAAAATTTAAGATTACATATGTGGCTTGCATTATACTTCTATTGAACAGCACTGTTCTAGTTCCTTCAGCTGTAAAGGACAGTAGTGGTACCTACCTTAGAGGTAAAGCACCTGGCATAACAAATGCTCAGTAAATGTTAGTCATCATTGTGTCATTGTTACTATTATGAAATATAGGACACTATAGGTACCTATATAAGAGGGCAATCCTTATCTATGATTTGAAGGAAGGCATAATTTCGAAATGTGTTTGAGCTACATTCTGAAATAATTTTATGAATAAGTAAATCTTAAGTGGGGGAGTGAGCAGGAAATATGGTGGCCAAAGCATTCCCCAACCAAAGGACAGCACCACAACCTAAACAGTTGTACTGACCCCAAAGCCTGTTCTGTGAAACATCATATAACATTGCCTCTTAACAAACTTGAATCAAATGAAATAAAAGTTAAGACAAAAGGACACTCTCTAGATCCTAAAAAGAGTGCATTTAACCTTGAGATAAGCAACTTTAAAATTTGATTTGATCTAGTACTTCTCAAACTCCATGTCTGAAGATCCGATCCCTGAAGAGTTTTTGGACTTATTATTTGGGGTGTGAGAACTCTATTATAATCTTATATTTTATGTGTTTTATTATGATCTTAAACATTTACATATGCATATTCTAAGTTATATGGACAGACACATTATAAATAGCTCCCTTTTTATAAATGGGCAAAGCTGTGAGATTTCCATGCGAGCTTTTGTGATTATGTTTATGATTGCATTGCTTCTGTTAATTACCTAGGTGACTGAATCTTTAATTCCGTGTTCCTTACACCCGATCCTGGGGACCACAGGAGGTACCTGAAAGGTGCACAGAATTTTATTCTATATTTTTACTTTTAAAGTAACTGATGCACAGGACTTAGCCAATTCAATCTTGTCTCACTAGAAAAAGTGCTGAGAAAGAAAGATGAGACAGGAAGAGAGAGTTTTTTTACTGACGGAATCCAATACAATTTTAGTCAAATGCTTTGAATTGCTCCAAAAAACACACACTTCATTCTGTAAACTGATATTACACCTAAGTATTATTATGATTTTTCCTCACTACTATAAGAATGTATACATTCAGGCTGTCAAAAATATATTTTACATGATAACTTGCCATTTGGAAAATATTCCTTACAGGACTCTGGGCATCATCAAATTATCTGGACATGGCCCCCCTGCCCGCCATGAAAATTGTTCTTAACTTACTGCTGCACCTGGAGGGACCATTCTAATTGGCCTCGCAATGTATCCGAGGGTTAAATTAATTTATGTGAACCTCACAGCAGGACAGCTGCCCAGCACTGTATACTAGCAGCTGTCTGACGCAATAAACCAAGAATCAGATTTTCTTGCAGCAGAAATAAATTTTTAATAACATCCCCCATTTCCACAGAGGCAAAATACAAGATATGATTTCTGTATGCCATGATTGTGATAGAAGCCTCCTTGGAGGAAGGGTGTCACTTTCTAAGTCAAGGCCCTGTCCTACCACATTATTTAAGCATAACATGACATGGAAATATATTTAATAGGATTTGGCTACAGGCAAGAAGTCTGAAAAACAGTACAGGGATTTGAAGAATCTGCTGTTGAGTTATGCATGGAATTCAGGATTTACTAGAACTGAAATCTTTAAGACAATCTTTGCTTCATAACAAATAAAACAAAAAATTTCTTCTCAAATATAACGATATTGGTACATTCATTATGATAATAGCCATCATATTCCTAGGGCCATGGAAAAGATAAAAGGGTATCTGTATATTTATTTCACAGTTCAGCTCCACTGAAATTATTTTTATTCAGCACATACGCAAAAGCTGGCACTTCATTAGACTCTTTGCAATTATCTATTTATTAATAATAGAGAGGTGCAGCACTACTTATTGTGGGTGTTACATATCTATAATTTTGCAATAATGTTGTTAGGTAGATATCATCCTCTCACCAAATTTGTTTCATGTGCTTGGAACACAATGTGGTGGGGGATCATCTTGCATTATTCAGAAAAGAGCGACCTGCAAGGATGGAGAAGCAATAAGGCACAGAAGCCCCAATCACTGCAAACTCCTATGGAGCAGAGCCACCATCTCAGCCCTGATCAATTACCCTAGGACGATTGTGTGAGGTAGAGAAATGTGCTCTACCTTGTTCAAGCTACTGTTGTTTGATGTCTCTTTTTATATGTGGGTCAATTATCTATAATTCAACTAATAAAAATCCCATACAAAACTGCAATCTTTGTGACTTCAAAAAGAGGGAAATTCTTATTTTCAGGCAAAGAAAATGGATATCAGTGGTAATGCTGGCTAACTGTTGGAAAGATGAAGAAAAGGTAGAACAACATAAAATCCTATTGCCTAATTATCATAAGATCTAAGAGACTATAAACTATACTCAGGTAGCCAGTGAATACAAGGAAGAATGGTGCTAGCCATTGAATCCTGAACCTGTTGCATAATGTAAAAGGTAGGTTGAACATGAAGAAATACTTTCAGGGAGAAGACATTTCCAAACACCTAATAGGCACAAAGCAAACAGAGTTGTCCCTTGGGATCCATGGGGGATTTGTTCCAGGATCTCCCATGGATACCAAAACCCACAGTGTTCATGTCCCTTACATAAAATGGCATAGTATTTGCATGTAACCTACAGGCATCCTCCCATATATTTTAAATCATCTCTAGATCATTTATAATACCTAATACAATGCCTACATGTCACTTCATTCACATGGATTCAACATAGTACTCAGCACATGACAAATTCAAGTTTTGCTTTTTGGAAATTTGTGGAATTTTTTTTCCCCTGAATAGCTTCAATCCATAGTTGCTTAAATCCACAGATGTGGAATCCACAGATACAGAGGGCTGACTGTGTTTATAAAATTTGGTCAACATTTTGACCTTTTAATCAAAATGAGTTTCATATTTGTTATTTGGAGAAGTGATCAGCACATTTTTCCTTAATAAAGGGTCAAATAATAAATATTTTACGCTTTTTGGCATAGGGGAAAATCAAGTATGTAGTTACTTGTATAACCATGTAAAATGCAACCATTAAAAAATGGTCAAATCTGCCTGCTAGATTTGATCTGCAGGCCATTTGTCGATTCCCAATTTAGACCAATGAGGCAGCAGCCTTCTAAGGAGTCAGACTCAGTAAGAAATCTGAAGTCTAAGATTTTAAAAATGGATATATAGCATATAAAATCAACTTTGATGGGTCCCCATTTAATGAAAACTTGAACTCCTTCATGTGACCTTTCACGAGGTGACTCCAGGCTGCCTTGTTGATCTTAACTGTAGACCATCAGACTGCCCATTATTTTCGAATCACATACCCTATAAGGCCTATGCACCTTTGCTCATGCTCCCTCCTTTGCCTTCTCCTGTCTTGCTAGACTAGTCAAAGTCTGAAAAACAGTAACTCACTTGTACACTAATTTCTGTTGACATTTTACCTTCCCTGTACAGCCTTCCCTAGAATCTACCTCCACCTCATACTCTAAGTCAGTATCAGTCCTCTCATGCTCTGATATTACTTTGTTAATGCCTCTACTGTATCACTTTGCACATGGACTAGATATGATTTACATATCTATATTTCTTTCATATTATAAGCAGGAAATAGGTATTTTATCCAGCACCTTGGACAGTGTGTGCCACAGAGAAGTACTCAACAATAATATACTGTTTATTAAGAGTCTCTTGCATCCAGCACTATGCTAAGCTCTTACATTCATTATCTTAATTATCACAACTTCCATCTGAGATATACTTTAACTTCCCCATTTTACAGATGAAAGGCCCAGAAAAGTTAAGTAAATTGCTCATGGTGTCATATCCAGTCAGGTGACAAATCTAGAACTCAAACCCAGTTCTAATGGACTTTGAAGTCTCTGCTCTTGACCTGTTATGTTGCCTCATTAATGTAAAATACACAAATGAAATCTGTAGTTGAATTAGGTTATTATCATCCCCTGCTGAAGCGTTTGTAGGATCTCTTTTAATTAAAAAAGTAAGAATGGTATGTAGTTAATATCATAAGTGTTCAGAGGTGAAGTGAACCTAAAAGACCAACTAATCTAGCTCCCTTGTTTTCTAAAAAATAAAACAGTTGCTATGAGACAGCACTTATTTTTTAACCCAAGACTACACAATTTAAACCCAGACCTTCTGCTTTCTAGTGGGGTCTTACTGGGTCACCTCTTGCCCAGCACTTTCACAAGGCTGTCACCTATAGTCAAGCTCATTCCGCATCAATGAATAGGCAGACTGAATGTCAATCACTTGAATAAATGTGAAAATGAGGTAGTCACAGTAAGTTAAAATCAGGTTTTATCCTTCCAATTAAATGGAATTAATAAGATAAAGTTGCCTTTGTTTTTATTTTGGAATAATATCTTAGAGTGGGTTTGATGGCCTTCTTCAGGACCTCCCAACTCTCTGACACTAAGCTTACCCTTAATATAGCACTTATCACAATGCATTGTCTTTCTTTATTCATCTCTCTCTCTCACTAGATTCTGAGCTCCAAAAGAACATGGACCACATCTATATCTCTATTGGCTAACATAGCTTTTGTCACAGAGTTGGCAAAGATGTGAAGACTTAATTAATTATTGCTTTGGGGTTGAACCTAAGAGATGTGATCAAGAGAGATCATCATAGTGACTCATCTTTTGGTGAGGATATGTGTGTGTGTCATAGTTAATTTGGGCTGCTTTAACAAAATACCATAGAGTGGGTGGCTTATAAACAATAGAAATTTATTTCTCACATTTCTGGAGGATGGGAAGTCCAAGATCAAGGTGCTGGCAAATTAGGTGTCTGGTGAGGGTCCACTTCCTGGTTCATAGATGGCCATCTTCTTCTCGCTGTGTCCTCACATGACAGAAGGGGCATGGGACTTCAATGAAGACTCTTTTATAAAGGTACTAATCATAATCATGAGGGCTCTACTCTTCCTAAGGCTCCACCTCCAACTACCATCACATTGGGGATTAGGTTTCAAATAGGAACAGGAAGGAGCATAAACATTGGTTCTAATGCAGTGTATGTGTTATTTGAAACTTACTTAAGTAATCACCATCACCATTGCATACTTCTCTGCTCCACAAAGTCCTCTCCTTGGCAAGTTGTTAGAAAATGTCTGTGAATGAGAGTTTGGCAGGTTTTTTTCTAATCCTGAAAATATTAGGAGGAATCCAGGTGGTCACATTCAGTGTAATCAGTGTTTCTCAGGGAACATTGTGGATGGATGAATGCAGGCTGATTATACAGTAAATATTTAATTTTAGATTCTGATTATTTCATATTGACATTTCGGAGCAGTAAATATTTTTATGCTGGATTCAGCCTGTACCATGAAAATAACTCCCTCAATGGCAGAGTCTACACATGTAGTTGTATAATTTAATAGTTTCATTTAAAGCATTTTACTTTTAAAATTCTTTCAGATTTGAAAAAACTAATGTCTTATTTGTGAAGGATCAACCTTAGGCTTTCTAGTCATAGACTAATTAGTCTTTCACTAGGAAAATGAAAGGCCAACTTTTCTAAAAGTCACTATTTTGATTTGGGTATTTTCTATTCTTGAGCGCCAGTCACATCCACATGGAAACAGTCATGAAAGAGTTAAAATAGAAACCTGCATGGAGAGACATTAAGAGGATAGCTTTCATTTTTGCTGGAAAAGGGTGGTTTCAGACATTTACCATTAGGAACTGGAACCACCCTAGAGGGTTGTTGAGAAAATGTTTATTGAGTAATAGGGGGGCAGGTTTTCAGAGAGAATCAGCTTAAAAGATTTTTTAAATTATGTGTGTGTTGGGGGTGGAAAATGTGTTTACACCATCTGGTCTCTATAAACTAGAAGTAATTCTGTCTCAAGTATTCATGAGCATTTTATAGAAGGCATTTGAAAAACTCTTTCTCATTACAAGTCCAGCACATCTTCTAACTTCCAGCAGTTATAAAAGACCCAAGAAGAGATATTGTGAGATATTATGATTGCCATTTTATGGATGAGCAAATTGACACTCAGAGAGGCCTCGTAACTGACTTAAATGATAAGACACTCAAGAATTACTGGAAGACTCTTTTTCCCCACCATGAGCTTCTTTGGCAAGCACATCAGTGTTTCTTGCATCTTATTTACTTGTCCAACTCCTGGAGCAGTGGAATGACTGATCTAATTGGTAAGGAGGCAAAGAGTAAGCTCTGCTCATCTCTGCTTTTCATCCTCCTTTCTCAGGGGTCAGCGGTCTTGTAGAAGCCATGAGTTCTCTGTTTCATCAGGCTATCAGTCTTGCCTGGTCCAGGAGTCAGCCTAATTCTGGGATTTCATCAAAGGGTCCACTTGGCTAATAAGGCCACTTCCTGTAACTGCTCCTCAGTCACCAATATAAATACTATTTCGGCCTCTGTCTTTATTATTTTATTTCTTAATATCTTCAGAACTCAGCATGAAAATGGGGTACTATTATTGTTCTCCCCTTGGAGACCCCAAGAATAACTAACAGATAATCAGCATTCAGATTATTCAAAGTTCATACTTGAAAATCACTATTCCAATGGTGGCCACAGTAACAATCAGCAAATAATCCATTGGCTTCACTACATTTTCCAGTCTTGCTTGCAGTTGGTTTGAAGCCCTGTTAGTAGCTCTGACCAATGGTCTGTGAGAAGAAATGTATGTGTCACTTCTGGGTAGGAACAATGAAAAGCTGATGTAACATGCAACTTCTATTGCACCATATATTGAGATAGTGGCATTACAATTTCTATGAAGCAGGAAGCCCAGAGATCCTGGATTCTCAAGTGACCACATGGAACAGTCTCTGTTCCCTAACACTGGGCTTCATGCAAGTAAGAAAAACCAAACTTTGGCATGTCAATACCTACATCCAGAGATTTGGGGATATTTTATTTCAACAGCAGAACATAGTCAAGCCTAACTAATTTACCTAATATAACTCAGAAGGAATTGTCTAAGAAAATAAGGGCGAAGGTAGGTTCTAGAGGTGGACAACGTAACACAAGGCTAACATAGAAACAGCACAGTAAATAAGGAAGCTCTACAGAGTCGTGATAAAATAAGTGTCAGCTTAATCACTCCTTAATAAGGGCTTCCCTGGTACATTAGCTATTACCATATACCTGTCTCAGTCTCCCACTCAACTCCAATTGCTTTGAGGACAAGGATGATATCACAACTATCTCTATGTCCTCAATGCCCAGCACAGTTCCTGAAGCATGTCATATTGTCACTATACGACTGTTGAGCAGAAGCGAAATGAAGCATTGATAATGAATACCAGCGCTGCAGTGGAGTTATTATGCTTTTGTATTATTTGTAATTATCATTAGCATAAATTATACATCTATTCAGCACAAATATATACATATATTTATGTTTAAATTAACTATTTAATAAACTGAATATAGTTCATTATATAATAATCAGCCTTTTATTTTAAACAGGCATTTGTGCTTCAGTGGTCAAGCCCATCAGCACAATTAATTCAGATTGCCCAAGTGAGGGACAGGAATAAAGCTTTGTGCTTTGAAGATTATTAATAGAAACATGCAAAACTTCAAGAAGAAATAGAAACAAATTTGGGGCTGGAAGGGACAGACAGCTAAGCCAGTAGCAAAACAGCACCCAGAAGTAGAGAACAATGCTTTAGACAATAATTCTGTGTGTGTGCAAGGACCAAGAGTTAAGGACTGGAGCCAGAGTTACAACTGAGGCTATCCTGGGATAAACATAGCATTTAAGGAATGAAGTGGAGCTCATTATATGGGGAGACAAGCCAGCAAGACATAGCAACATAGGGCAGGGAGGCTTTGCTACAGCATGCAGAAGTTGTGTGGCCAGGTGATGAAGGACGAGCAGAGCTGTTCTGATGCAAGTGCCTACAAGGCATTGTGGAGAACCTGCTGCAGCAAGCAGACACCAGGGCCCTTTCCATTCAGGAAGAGAAGACCTTCTGTTCAAAATATTTAAGACCCAAAGCTCTTTGACAATCAAGAAGCAGATAAGAATGATCGAGTCTCAGTAGAGAAATACTGGATTTCATACCAATCTGATCAAAGGAGGCTCCAGATGGCTTTAGTTCAAATTAAACATATGAAACAGATAGGATAGCTCTTATATACCAAGGCATGCAGCAATTCCTGTTACATTTTTAAGTCAGTGACTTAGATGAGCAATGGATTACAAAGAGACATTTGGTAAGGCCCTTGCCCCTGAGAACTCAACCATCTAGCTGGGAAAAGAAGAGGGCAGCACCAGAAAACGATAACTATTGGCCCAAGGGAAAAATCTCAAGTCCTCAGCTTGGCATCCTTGACTGTTAATGATATGCCTCAAAATTACATCTCTTTCATTTTCTACCATTACTCACCTCCCAATTCTGGTGAAATTTTTGCTGATCTCCAAATATGCCATGCCTTTCAATGGGCTTTAAGTGCTATCTCCTCCGCTTGGAATGACTTTTCTCTGTTTGCCCAAGAAATTCCTATTCAACCTGCAAGAACTAGTTCTAATTTCTCCTTTCTCTAAAGCTTTTCTGATTCTCTCAAGGGGAACTGGAACATACAGAAAGAGAAAGAGAGAAGGAGGCTATGGATTAAACTGCGTTCTCCTCCCAAATTCATGTATTGAAGCCCTAAGCTCCATTGTGACTGTATATGGAGATAGGGCTGACAAGAAGGTAATTAAGGTTAAGTGAGGTCATAAGGGTGGGGCACTGATTTGATAGGAGATAGGAACAGTGTCCTTATAAGAAGAGACAACAGAAAGCTCTCTCTGGCCCTCTCTCCACCATGTAAGAACACAGCAAGAAGGTGGCCACCTGTGAAACAGAAAGAGAGGCCTTACTAGAAACCAATCCTGATGATACCTTGATCTTGGACTTTAGCTTCCAGAACTTTGAGAAAAATAAAATGGCTGTCTTAAGCCACCAGTCTATGGTATTTTGTCATGGCAGCCCAAGTGGACTAATACAGTCACTGTCTCTCTTTCTTTACATTAAGTCCTTCAGTGACCCTAACACCTGAGTAGTAGGCATCATCCCCTCTTTCACAGAAAGGAGACCAAGGCTCAAGAGACAATGACAACGTCCTATAGACACACGGTGGTTGAGATCTGAACCTGGGTCTGTGTGACTGGAAGGTCTGTGCTCTTTCCTCCCTATATTTCTGCATTCCAGGCCTTCCTCTGGACCGCCACAACACTATGTGCACACCTTGGGTGACAGTAGCATTCATACCACGTGGCAATGATCTGTTTTCCCCACAAAACCATGCAAAAAATTACTCTTAAATAATAGAATTGCTTAGCTGAGATACTCTGAACGACCAACTGATAATTAGAATTAATTAGAGATATTCACTGCAATTATTATAGAAATCAGAGGCATGGGGAAATCCTTTGGGTTGGGAAGGGTATACCTTCAGTCAAAAGAAATATGGATTGAATGCTCATTCTTTGCAAGGTACTGTTATTCATTGGGAGCAAAGAAGAATAAGATAGTACCAGCCCTCAAGGAGCTCATAGTTGAGTAGAAGTAAAATACTAAATATTTGTCCACGGGTATCATTTGTTTGGGATCTGGTAGGTTATATTAGAATCATGAGTATGGCAATTCTCAGCTACACGTTGGAATCATCTGGAAAACTTTAGAAAACATTGATGTCTGGGTACTGCTTCTAGAGGCTTGGTTCAATTGGTCTAGGGTATGGTTTGGAGTTCAAAAAGCTTCCTAAGTGATTCTGATGTGCAGACAAGGTTGAAAATCCACAGACATGAAACCTAGAAGGGGGAGGAGACTCCAGGATTCATAGAAAGAAGTAGAGAAAGAGGAAGGGAAAGAGCAAAGCAGAGGCACATATGGGCAACATTTACTACCATGCTGCATTTAACAGCATTTAACAAGTGCCCATATTGTGAGAGGCATTGCAGAGGACCCATTAATCCACTCAGAGAGCATGCATTGAGAACTAAAACAAACAACAGTAAACTCAAACGCTGTTGTTTATTTAGTGAATGCCTTTCAAGGGGCTGTAAGTACTAGAAAGACATTATCTTAATAAGCTCCCATCATCCTTGCCAGGTAGGGGGCAGGTTAGGCTTTTATTAAATGATGCCATATTGAAGAACATTCTTTGCTTGCCTCAATAACTAATGTAATATAAACTATGGGGACCAGTTAGTCACTTAACATCATAAAGGCTATAATTCAGCATAGCAGAGAAATACCTCTAGAGATGGGACCTCAGGGGGTAGACTAGGAAAAGAGGCCTGAGGAAGGCTGGAGGGTATTGTTGGAGAGAAAACAGAAGCAATAAAGTAGTATTGATGTGATGATTATTAATAGTATTATTAGCCTTACAATGCCAAGCATCTCGCTTAGTATTTTCCATGTATCTTCTCTGGCATTCGTCCAGTGAGGCAACTGTTTTTTGTTTTTTTTTTCTTTGTTTTTTGGAGTCTTGCTCTGTCACCCAGGCTGGAGTACAGTGAAGAGATCTTGGCTCACTGCAAACTTCGCCTCCCGGGTTCACACCATTCTCCTGCCACAGCCTCCTGAGTAGCTGCGACTACAAGCGCCTGCCACCATGCCCGGCTAATTTTTTTTTTTGTATTTTTCGTAGAGATGGGGTTTCACTGTGTTAGCCAGGAAGGTCTCGATCTTCTGACCTCGTGATCCGCCTGCCTCGGCCTCCCAAAGTGCTAGGATTACAGGCATGAACCACCGCACCTGGCCACCTGTGAGGCAACTGTTATCTTCATTTTCTAGAGAATGAATATGGTATACAGAGAAGTTTAACAACTTGCTCAAATAGCTCCTAAGTGGCCAAGTTTTGAATCTAGATCTGATCTGAATGAGACCCCATAGCCCATTCTCTTAATCTTCTGTAGGTGTTCTCTCAAGGGAGGATGAGGTAGGGAGACAAAGTTGTTGGTGAGGGTGAGATAAAGAAACTAAGATTCCTCTCCACATCTTGAAATCAGAAAAGGTTCTGTACATGGATTATTTCAATAATAAGTGGGCAGCTGATAGCTAAAGGCACCTATTAACTGTGGAATAGGCTGAAGACTCCAGAACAGGGAATGTGGACAAGATTGTAGGTAGAAGCACACGCTCTTCATCATCTTTAGCCACTCTGAGAGCATCGTTCACAGTCCTCAGGCCAGGGCCATGCAGGTGAGATATGGGAGAAAAGTGTTGTTACCAAATAAGAACCACTGAATTAATGCTAAAGTTTATGTTCTGAATATTTAAACTTCATCTAATATTGTTTTAGTAGTGCTTGTAAGCCATGAATTAGGTTCAACACAAGCACAAGCACACGCACACACGCCTGTTTAGCATATTCCAGGCCATCATATATATAATTATGCATAGAAAACAAAGTGGGAGAGACATATAATTTTCATTCTAAGCCTTTGGGAATAGCAACAGGAAGCAGAGTTTCTGGATTAAACTGAACATCAGCCTACTCCTTCGCTTTTCAAGTTTAAGATGAGTCAGGCACTGTACTAAGTTCCTTGAAGATATCATCTCATTTAGCTAACATGGTAACCCCATGAGGTTGGTACTGTCACTGGCTTTACTTTGTTCATATAATGTAAACTTAAGAGGTGAAATGGCTCATTCAAGGTCACATAGCTTGTAAATAGGTGAATGGGAATTAGAACCCAGTTCTTCCTGACTCCAAGGTCCATACTATGTTATGATGGAAATAGCAATGTGGTAAATGTAATCTTTCCACATGCAATTACGGTCTTACAGTTTTTCATTTTCTGAAAATTCAATATGAGAAAACAGCACTAGGTGGCAGCTACAAAAGCAAATGTGGGCTATACAGTGAAATTAGGATCGAAGATAGAAAAGAAAAGTCCAAGGTACTCAGCAATGGCTGGTTCTTAGCTGGGAACTATACTTCAGCTTTGAGCCTACACTTTAGAGGAATGGTGTATTAGTTTTCTACTGCTGTTATAACAAATTATTGCAAGTTTTGTGCCTTAAAACAACACAAATTTTATATCTCACAGTTCTATGGTTCAGAAGTCTGACACAGGTCTCACTGGGCTAAAATCAAGATGTCAGGAGAGGTGCATTCCTTTCTGAAGACTCCAGGAGAGAATGTTTCCTTCCTTTTCCATTGTTTGTAGGCCGCCCAGATTTCTAGGCTTGTGTTCTCCTTCCCTTATCTTCAAAGCTAGTGATGATGAGTGAGGCTTCTCATATCACATCACTTCATCACTCCAATGATTTGTTTTCAACAGTATCTCTCTTTCTCTGACCCATATTATGCTCCCCTCTTCCACTTTTAAGGACTCTTGTGACTACATCGAGCTGAAGTTTATTTCATCTTAAGGTCAGCTGTTGGGATTCTTCATTCTATTTTGAAACTACATTCTCCTTTGCCATGTGTCTTAGTCCAACTAGAATGATGTCTAAGGATGTGAGAAGATGGTTGAAAACCATGCGATAGTACAGCAAGTCTTATACTGAAAAGCAACAGTTCCCTGCCTACTTCCTTCCCCCAATCTAATTTTCAGAAGTAAGTAATTTTAACCTATTGTTGTGGTTTCAAAGTGGGTATTTCTGTAGGTCACATCAGTATCTCTGAATGGAATGCTTAGCAAGTTCTTGATCATCTTCTCCCTCTATTGCATTAGTTTCCTAGGGCTAAGATAAGAAAGTTCCACAAACTGGATGACTTAAAATAATAGAAATTTATTGTCCAACATTCTGGAGGCTAGAAGTTTGAGACCAAGATGTCAGCAGTATCATACTGCCTCTGAACTTTGTAGGAGAGAATCCTCCTTTACATTTTTCTAGCTTCTGGTGGCTTGCAGGCAACTCATGGCATTCCTTGACTTGCAGCTACATAACTCCAATCTCTGCCTTCATCGTCACATGGTATTCTCCCCTTTGCATCTCTTGGTCTTCAGATGACTGTCTTCTTATAAGGAAACCAGTTGTATTGGATTAGGGGACTATCTTATGCCAGCATTACCACTTCTTAATTTAATTAACTACATCTGCAAAAACTCTATTTCCAAATAAGGTCATTTTCTAAGGTACTGGGTACTTGGACTTCAAGATATCTTTTTGTTGGGGGTGGGGAAAAAACTTTAACCCATTTCTCTATATATTTCTGCAGTGGCCAATCAGGATATTAGGAAAAGTGAATGGAGTAACCATGGGTCTTTAAATAAGGAAATAAATAAAATCTCTTCTTCCATTTGGTACTTCTCTCACTTGGTACCAAATGGGAGAAGTACCCATTTGGTACTACATATGGTGAAGAAATAAAAAGAATATAAACCCACAACTATGTCAAACATGAAAAGGGAACTGTCAGTAGATAAGACATTTTAAAATTCTCTGAAAAATAGAGAGGAGGGAGTACTGATTACTGATGAATGAAGAAAGTCTGCCTGCACTGCTGAGTTCCTGAAAGTTTCCATGCTTGGGAAAGTAAGTGTGATAGAAGATGTGGAATGAGTTGTGAGGATGAAAATGGGAAGATTAATTAGAAACCTGTAGATAGAAGAGTCAGTCAGCCCCATGCCTCAAAGCCAGCACTAAGAAGCCAGCTGCCAGGCATCTGCCCCAGTAAAGTCCCTGCTTGGTTGTCTCAGCAACACCTGCCAGCCTGTGGGCCCCACCTACCTCCTCACAGCCCTTAATAGGCTTCCGAACATCTCATTCTGAAACAGAAGTAGGCAGCCAGGGGTGATTAGAGAGCTGAGGAACACCAGCAACAATAAAGTGAAAGATCATAATATATTGCCACAAAGGTGTAAACATGGAAGGGATAGAAATATTCAGGAATCAAAAGAGAATTTTTAAAACATCCAATTAGTTTCCTTTAAAACAGTCAAGAACATATTGCAACCATTAAACATAAGAAGCACTTTAAAAAAATGGGTAAAAATAGAACAAACTCTTGGCTATTAAAATATGATTGCAAAGAAAACAGTACAAGAAAAATCTCTAGTAGCATAAGAAAATAAAGTTAAAGAAATAAATTGAAGAAAAAAGCAGATAAAAGACAAGATGGCCTACTAGATGCAGCCAGGAGTGCTGCTCCCACTGACAGAGAACAAATTATGGAATAAACCAACATAATTTGGGCAGGTCTATGGAGACAAAACATGGAGAGTGGATGGAAAGGTGACACTAATGATGAGGCTGAAGTGGGAAGAAGCTGGGAACCCTGCACAAGGTACCTGAATGGCTCCTGGGAAAGGAGTGAATAAGGAGACCAAGGGATAGCCCATTCTCACCACAGACCACTGGGATTCTAGACACAGGGGACCCTGTGTCCCCCATGGGCATGTGAACTGGCAAGGGGCTTTGCCCAGGGGTAGGCAGAGACAAGGCTTCAGCCAGGGTGTATGTAGCCCAGGAGCTTTTGTGTGGGGGGAAGCTCCAGTGGAGCGCAGCCATAGGTGTCCATCCCCCAGGACTTCCCATATCCCTCTGAGAGGCTTTAGCCTCAGTTGACTGCCAGACAGGAGAGAACAGGGATAGCTTTCCTGCAGGACTGGGATGTCTATTTTGCAGACCCTCCTGCCTACTAGCCCCTCCCAGGGCCCTGTCTAGCTTCCCTGCAGGAATGAGTACACAGGACAGCCTCTGCAGCCCAGCCTGAGTACCCTGCTCTGCCTGAATAATTTCTTGGTGATCTGGCAGTAGTTTGGATCCCCAAGCACAGAGAGAGCCTGATCCTGAGCCACAGGCCATCCTGGCATCCCAGCACTGTAGCATCCAGCTTAAGAGTGCCAAGCCAAGATCTGTGGCCCGCATTTGAGCAGAGGAGGAGCCCCTACTCTTAGAACACTGAGAGGTGTGAGACATGTGGGTTCATGGGCTGGCGTGGGAGCAAGGCATGCCTCCCTCTGCTGGGCCTGTCTTGAAAGAACGTGGTCTATCTCCCTGCTGTGTCCTCTGCCCGAGCGAGCCCCACAACCTGGCACACTAACAAAAGAAACATGAGTGCAGTGTCAGTGATGGGAGGGGGCTCCCTGAAAGGCCAGGAGTGAACCTGCTGAGTGGGTCATCTCTCCCCACCCTCCACCACACAGCACACCTGTGAATGCAAGGAAATACAAAAGAGCCATGTGGCTGAATAAGACCTTATCTACTGGCCACTACTCTTAAGCTTCACCTACTGGATTGCAGCCCAAACTACAACACCAAAAATATATATCCTTGTGAAACCAAGCATAAGAATTCATCCACAAATAAAGATCTTGTACAGAGCCTTTGCCCTCTAAGAGCATCCAAAAATGAATACAATTGACTATCCTCAACTTATGCCACAGTGAAAGGAACACCAGCGCTCTACCAAGATGAAAAAGAGTCAGTGCAAGAACTCTGGCAGTTAAAAAAGCAAGAGTATCTCCTTACCTCCAAATGAGGCCACCAGCTACCCAGCAGTGGTTGTCAATCAGACTGAAATGACAGACATAGAGTTCAGAATCTGGATGACAAGGAAGCTCAATGAGATTCAGGAGAAAATTGAAACCAATCCAAAGAATCCAGTAAAACAATCCAAGAGCTGAAAGACAAAATCGCCAGTTTAGTAAACAACAAAACAGAACTTCTGGAACTGGAAAATTAACTTCAAGAATTTTATAATACAATTGGAAGTATTAACAGCAGAATAGATGACCAAGCTGAGGAAATAATCTCAGAGCTTAAAGACTGGTTATTTGAATCAACTCAGTCAGACAAAAATAAAGAAAAAGGAATTAAACAAATGAAAAAAACCTTCAAGAAATGTGGCATTATGTAAAGAGACCAAACTTATGACTCATTGATATTCCTGAGAGAAAAGAAAAGAAAGTAAGCAACTTGGAAAATACAAGTTTGAGGATATAGTCTATGAAAATTTCCCTATTATAGCTAGAGAGGTTGACATTCAAATTCAAGAAATACAGTTGACCCTGGCTAGATACTATGCAAGATGACTATCTCCAAGGCACATACTCATCAGATTCACTAAGGTCAATGCAAAATAAAAAAAAAATCTTAAAGGCAGCTAGAGAGAAGGGTCAGGTCATATACAAAGGGAACTCTATCAGGCTGGCAGCACAACTGTCAGCAGAAACTTTAAAAACCAGAAGAGATTGGGGATCTATTTTCAGTATCCTTAAAAAAAGAAATTCTAACCAATAATTTCATATCCCACCAAACTAAGCTTCATAAACTAAAATTATTCTCAGAAAAGCAAATGCCAAGGGAATTCATTACAACTAGATCAGTCACACAAGAGCAAAAAGTCCTTAAGGTAGTGCTAAACAGAATCAAAAGAATGACACCTTCTACCACAAAAACGCACTTAAACACATAGCCCACAGAAACTGTAAAGCAACTACAAAATCAAGTCTACATGACAACCAGCTACCATCACAATGACAGGATCAAAATTTCATATATCAATACTAAAACTGAATGTAAATGGGCTAAATTCCCCACTTAAAAGACATAGAGTGGCCAGTCAAAGAGACAAGACCTGACTGCTGTTTCCCATGTAATTATACCCACAGGCTCAAAGTAAAAAGGTGGAGAAAGATCTACTATGCAAATGGAAAACAAAAAAACAGCAGGAGTTGCTATTCTTTCTTTTTTCTTTTTTTTTTTGAGATGGAGTCTTGCTCTGTCACCCAGGCTGGAGTGAGTGGCATGATCTCGGCTTACTGCAACCTATGCCTCCCAGGTTCAAGTGATTCTTCTGCCTCAGTCTTCTGAGTAGCTGGGACTACAGGCACATGCCATCATGCCTGGCTACTTTTTTCTATTTTTAGTAGAGACGGGGTTTCACCATGTTAGCCAGGATGGTCTCCATCTCCTGACCTCGTGATCTGCCCACCTCGGCCTCCCAAAGTGCTGGGATTATAGGCATGAGCCACCACTCGTGGCCGGGAGTTGCTATTCTTATACTAGATAAAACAGACTTTAAATTAACAACTATTAAGAACAAAAAAATGGTATTACATAATGATAAAGGGTACAATTTAACACAAAGACTTAAGTCTCCTAAATATACATGCACTCAACGATTGGAGCACCCAGATTTATAAAACAAGTCACTCTTGACCTACAAAAAGACTTACATAGCCAAACAATAATAGTCAGAGACTTCAACAACCCATTGACAGTGTTAGATCAACAAGGTAGGAAACTAGCGAAGAAATTCTGGACTTAAAGTTGACACTAGACCAATTGGACCTAATAGACATCTATAGAATACCACACCTAACAACCAAAGAATATACATTCTTCTCATCTGCACACAAAACATGTTCTAAGATTGACCACAAACTTGGTCATAAAGCAAGTCTCAATGACTCTAAACAAATTGAAATAATACCCAGCACACACTCAGATCACAGTGCAATAAAAACAGAAATCAGTATCAAGAAGATCTCTCAAAACTACATAAATACATTGAAATTAAACAACTTGCTCTTGAATAACTCCTGGATGAACCTCAAAATTAAGGCAGAAATAAAAAAATTGTTTGAAATTTATGAAGATAATGATACAACTTACCAAAATCTCTGAGATACAGCTAAAGCAGTGTTAAGAGGAAAGTTTATAACACTACATGCCTTCATCAAGAAGTTAGAAAGATCTCAAAATAACAATCTAACTTTTCACCTAGAGGAATTAGAAAAAAAAGAACCAACCAACCCCAAAGCTAGCAAAAGAGAATAAATACCTAAATTAGAGAAGAATTGAAATTGAGATATAAAAATCCTTACAAAGGATCAATAAAACCAAACATTGGTTTTTCAAAGAATAAACAAGATTGCTAGAGCACTAGCTAGATTAACAAAAAAAGGAAGATCCAAATAAGTATAATCAGAAATGACAAAGATGACATTACAACCAATCCCACAGATATACAAAATACGCTCAGAGATTATTTTGAACAACTCTATGCACACAAATTAGAAATTCTAGAGGAAATGGATAAATTCCTAGAAACACACAACCTCCTAAGATTGAACCAGGAAGAATGTGAAAACCTGAACAGATGATTGACAAATTCCAAAATTCAATCAGTAACAAAAAACCTACCAACCAGAAAAGAAAAACCGCGGACCAGATGGATGGACAGCCAAATTATACAAGATGTACAAAGAACAACCGGTGCCAATCCTACTGAAACTATTCTAAAAACTCAAGGAGGAGGGGCTCCTCCCTAACTCATTCTATGAAGCCAGAATCAGTCTGATGCCAAAATCTGTCAGAGATGCAATGAAAAAAGAAAACTTCAGACCATATATCTCTGAGGAACATAGATTCAAAAATTCTCAACAATATACTAGCAAACTGCATCCAGCAGCACATATAAAAGTTAATACACCATGATCAAGTAGGCTTTATTTCTGGGATGCAAGGCTAGTCCAACATATGCAAATCAATAAATGTGATTTACCGCATAAACACAATTAAAAGTAAAAATGATCATCTCAATAGATGCAGAAAAAGCTCTTGATAGAATCCAACATCCTTTTTTATAAAAGCCTTCAACAGATGAGGCATCAAAGGAACATACCTCAAAATAATAACTATCTATGACAAACCCACAGCCAACATCACATTGAACAGGCAAAAGCTGAAACCATTCCCCTTGAGAACTGGGATGAGACAGTGATGCCCAGTCTCACCACTCCCATTCAACATAGTCCTGGAAGATTGCCAAAGCAATCAGGCAAGAGAAAG
This sequence comes from Homo sapiens, assembly GCF_000001405.40. NCBI lineage: Eukaryota > Metazoa > Chordata > Mammalia > Primates > Hominidae > Homo > Homo sapiens. The sequence continues at coordinate 57,687,063 of NC_000001.11, forward strand.
AAATAAAAAAGCATCCGAATAGAATAAGAAAAAGTGAAACTACCTCTCTTCACTCATGATATATTTCTATATCTGTAAAACCCTAAAAACTTCATCAAAAGGCTACTAGAACTGATAATTGACTGTAGTAAAGTTTTGGGATACAAAATCAGAGTACAAAAATCAGTACCATTTCTATACACCAGTAACATTCAAGTTGAGAATCAAAGAACACAATCCCATTTACAATAGCCATAAAAAGTGGAAATAACTAGGAATACAACTAACCAAGGAGGTGAAAGAACTCTACAAGGGGAACAGCAAAACACTTCTGAAAGAAATCAGAGACAACACAAATAAATGGAAAAACACTCCATGCTCATGAATTGGAAGAATTAATATCATTAAAATGACCATACTGCCCAAAGTAATCTACAGGTTCAGCACTGTTCCTATCAAACTACCAATACCATTTTTCACAGAATTAGAAAAATCTATTCTAAAACTCATATGTAACAACAACAGAAAACCTGAATATCGAAAGTAATCTTAAGAAACAAAAAAAAAAAAAAAAAAAAGAAAAAAAGAACAAAGCTCTAGGCATCACAAGACCTAACTTCAAACTATACTAAAAGGCTACAGTAACCAAAATAGCATGGTACTGGTACAAAAACAGACACAAAGACCAATGGAATAGAACAGAGAACCCAGAAAAAAAGCTACACATCTACAACCATCTGATCTTTGACAAAGCCAACAAAAGTAAGCAATGGGGAAAGGAATCTCTATTAAATAAATGTGCTGGGATAACGGGCTAGCCATATGCAGAAGAATGAAACTAGACCCACTACTTTTCAGCATATACAAAAATTAACTCAAGATAAAAATATAAATGTAAGAAATCAAATTATAAAAATCCTAGAAGAAAATCTAGGAAATATCCTTCTCAACATTGGCCTTGACAAATAATTTTTGGCTAAGTGCCCAAAAGCAATTGCAACGAAACCAAAAAATTGACAAACAGTACCTAATTAAACTGAAGAGCTTCTGCACAGCAAAAGAAACTATCAACAGAATAAACAGACAACCAACAGAATGGGAGAAAATACTTGTAAACTACACATCTGACAAAGATCTAATATCCAGATTATATGGAATTTAAGGAAATTAATTAGCAAAAGACAATCTCCCCCTCCAAAAAAATGGGCAAAGGACATAAACAGACACTTCTCAAAAGAAGACATGCAAGCAGCCAACAAACATTTTAAAAAAATGCTCATCATCACTAATCATCAGAGAAATGCAAATCAAAACCGGATTGAGATATCATCTGACACCAGTCAGAATGGCTATTATTAAAAAGTCAAATAATAACAGATGCTGGTGAGGCTGTGGAGAAAAGGGAATGCTTATACACTGTTGGTGGGAATGTAAATTAGTTCAGCCACTGTGAAAAGCTGTTTGAAGATTTCTCAAAGAACTGAAAACAGAACTACCATTTGACCCAGCAATACCATTACTGGGTACGTACCCAAAGGAAAATAGATCATTATACCAAAAAGACACATATACTTATATGTTCATCACAGTGCTATTCACATTAGCAAAGGCATGGAATCAACCTAGGTGCCCATCAACGGTGGATTATATAAAGAAAATGTGGTACATATATACCATGAAATACTATGCAGCCATAAAAGGAACAAAATTATGTCCTTTGCAGCAACATAGATGCAGCTAGTGACCCTGTTCCTAAGTGAATTAACACAAAAACAGAAAACCAAATACCATATATTCTCACTTGTAAGTGGGAGCTAAACATTGGGTAGTAGTGGACATAAAGATGGGAACAATAGACACTGTGGACCACCAGAGTGGGGAGGAAAGGAGGAAGGTGTGGGTTGAAAAACTACCTGTTTGGTACTATGCTCACTACCTGGGTGATGGGATCCATACCCAAATCTCAGTGTCACACAATATGCCCATGTAACACACCTGCACATGTACCCATTGTATCTAAAATAAAAGTTGAAATTATTTTTTAAAAAAGAAGAAAGCAAAACATTTTGAGGGAAAATGAGTCCTTGAAATTCCTTCCCAGCTAATTAAATGGATAGATTTAGAATAGGCAGGGACTCAGAAAGTTTACCTAGCTTTCTTAGGAAGCTGTCTTGTGAAAGGGGGTAGCAGACCAAGGAGGAGGATATTTTACCCCATAATGTCCTAGGACAACAGCTGGAATATTTAAAAAGTGCAGATTGGCTCAGGTGCCCAGGCCTGTGGAAGAAGGTCACCAAGTAAAAACAGGTGGAGATGGTAGTGAAGGTGATAATGGGGTTTAAAAGATTAGTTAGTATCATTTAGAACTTGGGAAATGCTGATGCTGTAGAAAAGGCAATTGGTTGAGTGTGAAAAGGAAGATTCCATTTAAACTTGATGCTGAAGTCTTCCCTCTCCGAGTGATACAAGGATTTGACATAGTACCTAAAGAGATGGAGGCCTAATCTGAGCATGATACTTGGCTCTGCTGTGCTCATCGTTACCTAGTAAGAACAAGTCAAATGCTATGATTAATTTTTTTTAAAGTTTTATGGGTAAACAGTAGGTACATAAATTTATGGGGTGCATGAGGTGTTTTGGTACAGACATGCAATGCATAATAACCACATCAGGGAAAATTGAGTACCCATCCCAACAAGCATTTATCTTTGTGTTACAAATAATCCAATTATACTCTTTCAGTTTTTTAAATGTACATTAAATTATTATTGACTATAGTCCCCCTGTTGTACTATCAAATACTAGGTCATATTCATTCCTTCTTCTTTTTTCCATTAACTATCCCTGTCTCTCCCCTTTCCCCCACTACCATTCCAAGCCTCTGGTAATCATAATTCTATTCTCTATCTCTGTGAGTTCAATTGTTTTGATTTTTAGATCCCACAAGTAAGTGATAACACATCATGTTTGTCTTTCTGTGTCTGGCTTATTCCACTTAACATAATGACCTCCAGTGCCATCCATGTTGTTGCAAATGACAGGATCTCACTCTTTTTCATGGCTGAATAGTACTCCATTGTGTAAAAGTACCCATATTTTCTTTATTCATTTATCTGTTGATGGACACTTAGGTTGCTTCCAAATCTTGGCTATTGTGAACAGGGCTGCAACAAGCATGGGAGGGCAAATAACTCTTCAGTATACTGATTTCCTTTCTTTGGGTATTGATATGGTTTGAATTTGTGTCCCCACACAAATCTCATGTCAAATTGTAATCCCCTATGTCAGAGGAGGGGCATGGTGGGGGGTAATTGGATCACGGGGCAGATTTCCCTCTTGCTGTTCTCATGATAGTGAATGAGTTCTCATGAGGTCTGGTTGTTTAAAAGTGTATAGCATCTCCCCCTTCTCTCTCTTCCTCCTGCTCCAGCCATCTAAGACATGCCTGCTTTCCCTTCACCTTTTGCCATGACTGAAAGTTTCCTCAGGTCTCCCAAGCCATGCTACTTGCACAGTCTGCAGAACTATGAGCCAATTAAGCCTCTTTCCTTTATAAATTACTCAGTCTCAGGTATTTCTTTATAGCAGTGCAATAATGGACTAATATAGGTATATACCCAGCAGTGAGATCACTGGATCATATGGTAGCCCGATTTTTAGTTTTTTTAAGAACCTCCAAACAGTTCTCCATAGTGGTTGTACTAATTTACATTCCCACCAACAGTGTGTGACAGCTTCCTTTTCAGCACATCCTCACCAGCATTTGTTATTGCCTGCATTTTGGATAAAAAACATTTTTAACAGGGATAAGAAATTCTTATTGTAGTTTTGATTTGTATTTCTCTGATGATATATTATGTTGAGCACTTTTTATATGCCTGTTTACCATTTGTGCATCTTCTTTTGAGAAGTGTCTATTTAAGTCTTTTGCCCATTTTAAAATGGGATCATTGAATTTTTTTCCTATACAGTTGTTTGAGTTCCTTATATATTAAGGTAATTAATCCTTTGTCAGATGGGTAGTTTGCAAATATTTTCTCCCATTCTATTGAGAGGTGAAGCCAGCTGGATTTCCTGGGTCGAGTGGGGACTTGGAGAAGTTTTCTGTCTAGCTAGGGGATTGTAAACCCACCAATCAGTGCTCTGTGTCTAGCTAAAGGATTGTAAAGGCACCAACCAGCACTCTGTAAAAATGCACCAATCAGCGCTCTGTGTCTAGCTAAAGGATTGTAAACACACCAATCAGCACTCTGTGAAAACTCACCAATCAGTACTCTGTGTCTAGCTAAAGGACTGTAAACACACCAAGCAGCACTCTGTAAACTGGACCTATCAGCACTCTGTAAAATGGAACAATCAGCAGGATGTGGGTAGGGCCAAATAAGGGAATAAAAGCTGGCCACCCGAGACAGCAGCGGCAACCTGCTAAGGTCCCCTTCCATGCTGTGGAAGCTTTATTCTTTCGCTCTTCACAATAAATCTTGCTACTGATCACTCTTTGGGTCTGCACCACCTTTAAGAGCTGTAACATTCACTGTGAAGGTCTGTGGCTTCATTCTTCAAGTCAGTGAGACCATGAACTCACCAGAAGGAAGAAACTCTGGACACATCTAAAGGAACAAACTCTGGACACACCATCTTTAAGAGCTGTAACACTCACTGCGAAGGTCTGCAGCTTCATTCTTGAAGTCAGCAAGACCAAGAACCCACTGGAAGGAATAAATTCCAGACACATTTTGGCAACCACGAAGGAACTATCACCAAGCAGTGAGCACTCTCAGACCCCTTTCGCTTGCTATTCTGTCCTATTTTTCCTTAGAATTTGGGGGCTAAATATTGGGCACCTGTTGGGCAGTTAAAAGCAAATAGCATGGCTGCCGGACTAAAGACATGGGTGTCAGGCTTTCTGGGAAAGGGCTCTCTAACAACCCCCAACTCTTCGGAGTTGGGAGCATTGGTTTGCCTGGAACCAGCTTCCACTTTTCCTGTACTTCTGGGCTGAGCCAAGGGTTGACAGAGAGGAAAGCCATTCTGCTCCAGGGTCCTGACAAGTTGATTGACCCCGTGGCCACAAGCAGAAGTCTCAAAGTCACGTTGCCCAAGTGAGACTCGCCCATCTATCCTTTCTATCCTGACCCTTGCCTCCTGGGTCCTAATGCCTGTCAGACAAACTTCCTCTCACCTCTCTTCTCTGAGGCTAGTCCCGCTTCTAAAAACTACTCCCTGTCTCTGGTGCTTTTCTAGCCACTCCTAGAAGAATGATTTCTAGTATAAACTAAGAAGAGGGGAGAACAGCAGCATAAGTGGCTGGCAGAGGCAGGGAAAGACCAGCAGAGAGGAAAGAGAGAGAGAGGAAGAGAGAAAGAGAAAGAGAAAGACAGGAAGTCAAAGAGAAGGAGACAGAACGAGGAAGAGATGGACAAAGAAGGAGTCAAAGAGAGAGGCAAAGTCAAAGAGAGAGAGGAAGAGACAAAGAGGGAGTCAGAGAGAGACAAAGAAGAAGTCAAAGAGAAAGAGAGATGGAAATAGTAAAGAAAAAACAGTGTACCCTATTCCTTTAAAAGGCAGGGTAAATTTCTGTCTACCAGCCAAGGCATATTCTTCTTATGTTGAACTTTCAACCTATATCTGCCTCTCAGACAGTTTGCAAGAAATAATGAAATCTATCCTTACTCTACAATCCCAAATAGACTCTTTGGCAGCAGTGACTCACCAAAACCGTGGAGGCCTAGACCTCCTTACTGCTGAGAAAGGAGGACTCTGCACCTTCTTAGGGGAAGAGTGTTGTTTTTACACTAACCAGTCAGGGATAGTACGAGATGCTACCCGGCATTTACAGGAAAAGGCTTCTGAAATCAGACAATGCCTTTCAAACTCTTGTACCAACCTCTGGAGTTAGGCACCATGGCTTCTCCCCTTTCTAGGTCCCATAACAGCCATCTTGCTATTACTCACCTTTGGGCCCTATATTTTTAACCTCCTTGTCAAATTTGTTTCCTCTAGGATCAAGGCCATCAAGCTACAGATGGTCTTACAAATGGAACCCCAAATGAGCTCAACTAACAACTTCTACCGAGGGCCCCTGGACTGATCCACTGGCCCTTTCACTGGCCTAAAGAGTTCCCCTCCAGAGGATACTACAACTTCAGGGCCCCTTCTTCGCCCCTACTTAGCAGGAAGTAGCTAGAGCAGTCATCGCCCAATTCCCAACAGCAGCTGGGGTGTCCTGTTTAGAGGGGGGATTAAGAGGTGAAGCCAGCTGGCCTTACTGGGTCAAGTGGGGATTTAGAGAACTTTTCTCTCTAGCTAGAGTATTGTAAATGCACCAATCAGTGCTCTGTGTCTAGCTAAAGGATTGTAAATGCACCAACCAGCACTCTGTAAAAACGCACCAATCAGCACTCTGTGTCTAGCTAAAGGATTGTAAATGCACTAAGCACTCTGTAAAATGGACCAATCAGCACTCTGTAAAATGGACCAATCAGCAGGATGTGGGTGGGGCCAAATAAGGGACTAAAAGCTGGCTAACCAAGACAGCAGCGGCAACCTGCTCAGGTCTCCTTCCACGCTGTGAAAGCTTTGCTCTTTCACTCTTCACAATAAATCTTGCTGCTGCTCACTCTTTGGGTCTGCACCACCTTTAAGAGCTGTAACACATGCCACAAAGGTCTGCGGCTTCATTCTTGAAGTCAGCGAGACCACAAACTCACCAGAAGGAAGAAACTCTGGATGTGTCTGAAGGAACAAACTCCAGAAACACCATCTTTAAGAGCTATAACACTCACCCCAAAGGTCCGCAGCTTCATTCTTGAAGTCAGAGAGACCAAGAACCCACCAGAAGGAATAAATTCCAGACACACTATGAGTGGTCTTTTTAGTTTGTTGATTATTTCCTTTGCTGTGCAGGAGCTTTTTAATTTGATGTGATCCATTTGTCCATTTTTGCTTTAGTTGCCTGTGCTTGTGAGATATTACTCAAAAATTTTTGCCCAGATCAATGTCCTGGAGAGTTTCCCCAGTGTTTTCTTGTAGTAGTTTCAAAAGTCTTTAATCCATTTTGATTTGATTTTTGTATAAGGTGAGGGAGATAGTGATCAAGTTTCATTCCTCTGGATATAGATAGCTGTGATTAACTTTTAAGTTTTGAAATAAAATTACCAATAATTCACTGAAGACTTAGTCATGGTTGCAGTACAGAAAACAAATGCTATCAATGCTGGATGTAGGCAAGAAATGTGGGTTGAAGGCTGAGCTTAGTAATGGCAGTATCTTAGAAAACTGGGAGTCAAGAGAGACTGGCTCTGGGTGATGGGACAGAAAATGGATGTGTAGTGTGCTATCAGAGGAGGAACCGAGAATATATATTGGGGAGAGTGGGTTTATGAAATGGAAAAAATCCTCACTGGTCACGGCAGATAATATAGAGAAACAATTGACAACTTGATAAGCAGTTAATTTAGAGATATAGAGGTAACCTGCAGAAAGGCCCCCCTTCCCCTAAAAAAGAGGTTAAAACTAGTTATCTCTGGAGAGTTGGACTGGGGAAAGGAAGTAGGCAGGGGACCACTGCTTTCCATTATTAGGCTTTTTCAAACTAAGGATATTTTTTAATGATGTATGTGTATCATTTTAATCAGATAAAAATATATTAAAATATTTTTATTTTGGGACATTCCAAGAATTCCGTAAGTATCAGAAAGGTGTAATAAATCCCCATTATCCATCTTCAACAGTGAACAACTCATGGCCACTCTTGTTTTATCTCTGTCCCACCCACTCCTCTCCTCCACATTACTTGGAAGCAAATGCTACACATCACATTATTTTGTTCTTAAATATTTCAGTATGTATGTCTAAAATATAAAGATATTTTTAAACTTGGGCATAAACTGTTATCATATCTTAAAAAAAATCCCTTAATTCCAACAAATACCCAGTTAATGCTAAAATTTCCATTATCTCCTAAATTTTTTAAAAATAATTTTAATATGTAAATTATTATTGTTTTCAAATAAATAAAAGAGTTGCATAAATTAGCGGGGCAAGGTGTGGCTTGCCTGTAATCCCAGCTACTCAGGATGCTGAGACGGGAGGATGGCTTGAGCCGGGGAGGTAGAGGCTGCATTGAGCTAAGATCTCGCCACTGTATTCCAGCCTGGGTGACAGAGCAAGACCCTGTTTCTCTAAGAAAGAAAGGAAGAAAGAAAGAAAGAAAGAAGGAAGGAAGGAAGGAAGGAAGGAAGAAAGGGAGAGAGAAGGAAAGAAAGAAAGAAAGAAAGAAAGAAAGAAAGAAAGAAAGAAAGAAAGAAAGAAAAGAAAGAAGAAAGAAAGAAAGAAAGAAAGAAAGAAAGAAAGAAAGAAAGAAAGAAAGAAAGAAAGAAAGAAAGAAAGAAAAAAGAAGAAAAGAGCCAATTAAGTCTGTATGTCTGTATAACTGGTATGACTGTAGAGTATGGAACTAGAGGAAAGGTTTCAGCAAAATATAAGGAAGGACTTTCCAATCAGGAAAATTGCCTGTTGGAATGTGTTGCCTTGGGAGGTTGTGAATCCATGTCTCCTTAAATAGGCAAATGGAGAGCCGGGAGCGGTGGCTCACACCTGTAATCCCAGCACTTGGGGAGGCAGAGTGGGTGGATCACCTGAGGTCAGGAGTTCGAGACCAGCCTGAACAACATAGTGAAACCCCTGTCTCTACTGAAAATACAAAAATTAGTCAGGTGTGATGGCGAGCACCTGTAATCCCAGCTACTTGGGAGGCTGAGGCAGGGGAATCAGTTGAACCTAGGAGGTGGAGGTTGCAGTGAGCTGAGATGGTGCCACTGCACTCCAGCCTGGGCAACAAGAGTGAGATTCCATCTCAAACAAAACAAAAAAAGGCAAATGGAGACCAGTTAGAAGGGAAATTTCTTTTCTGTAGTTCCAATAATCCCAAATTATTTAACTCTGAAGCTATTATGAATTCATAGAGAACCTTAACACCCAAGAACTATTTGTTTGATGAGCACAATTTTGGACTGTGTACTCAGAAGTCTTTTTTTCCTCCTCTTCCTCCTTCTTCTGTTCACGTATTTCACAGGCTTAGCAGTCTCTGCATTCCTTTTTAAAAGCCCTAACCTTCTAGGAAATTGTAAATTTCTTGAGGTCAGAGACCTTATCTTTTGCATTGTTGAATCCCCATATCTAGCCCATAATGAATGCTTGTTTTAGTCTCTGTTCCCCGGGAAACAGGCCTGAGATGGAAATCTGCAAGCAGGAGTTTTGTCAAGGACTGCCCTCTGAAACTATGTCTGTGGGAGATGTGGGAAGCAGGACTGGGCAGAGGGGAAGTTGAACTGTGGTGCAGTTGGGAGAGGATCTTCAGTGGATAGTATGAGAAACTGTGGGGTTGGGAAAACCCTTGAAAATTGCATCCTTCCAGGAAAGAGGTTTGGGACGATCACTGAATGCAAGCTGCTTCTTCAGACAGTGTGGAAAACAACTCCCTGTGCCAGTGACAGTGCCTAGAGAGGAACTCAGCTACAACCTACAGCTGGCCAACACTCTCAGCACCTGGGAAAAGCATGAATACCTCAAACGGGGGCTCTGGGCAGAGCTCAGTTGGTATTTGTCTAATTGAACTGCATAGCCAGAGCAACTGCCTGCCACTGTCCCCTATGTACTCTACACAAGCGTGATCTTACCCTTTCTAAAACAGGTGATTGACTCCTTTTACCTTCTTTGAGTGTTTACATACTTCATGCCACCTATCTGACATGCCTTTCCTTTCATATCATCCTGGAATTTTCAAAGCATCATTCCTGGTCTTGATTTCCTAATTATCTGGCTAATTTATCATTATGATACTACATGTGCTCTTCTTTTGAGACACTTTATAATTCTTACAAATTTACCAGGTATAGACGAGTAGCAATAATAGTCAATGCAGGAAGTTTCTGCTTACATTTTGAAGCTCCCATCCAAAAGTCACCTTCTCTGTGAAATCTAACTGCACTCTCATAGGCAGAGCTAATGTCAATCAACTGTAGCACTTACATACTATATGCAATTATCTTGTAATGAGGCTGTCTTTCTCACTAGGCTAGACATTTTTCAAGTCATAGTTGTTCATTTGCTTCTCCTATGCCTTGCACAGTTCCTGGCATATAATAGATATCTAATGAAGATCTGTCAGATGAATGAATGAATGAATGAATAAATGAGTTGATCAATCAATCAAAATTTAGAATCTTTCTTATGGCACAAATTCAGTTACTCTTACTGTTCTCCTGATACTTTATAATTGTTGCTAATGTGCTTCACTAGCAGAATCGAAAATAAAAACTGGGATAATAAGCCTGCCTTGTGATAGTTCACCAAGTCAGTACAATAAGCTCACGTTTCTAAAAAAAAAAAAAAAAAAAAAAAAAAAAGGAGGGGCGAAGTAGTACAATTGCTGCTAAAGCTTTAGCGCAATCAATTTTAATTAGCATTGCTCATTGTAAGAAATGATAAGGTATCAGTCATTGTAATTGCCAGTGTTGACAATTAGTCAAAGTCATTAACATCTCAAGACCTAAGATAATACAGACTTACTGAATTTAAAGATTTGGAGGAAAATTAAGAAGAAATTGTTATGAAATGCCTTCAGTTTTCACAGGCTCAACAAACATACCCTGGGAATGATTACTTTCCAGTTTTCTTTGGGAGCTGAAGAGAGATTACCTAGGAACTGCCACTAGGCTGTGTTCTTTCTGTCTTCTCTGCAATCCACGGCACTACTAGGGAGATTCTTTCAAAAACACAAATTTCAGTGTGTCACTCAAATACCTCCAGGGTTTTCTCATTGCCCACAGGAAAAACCCCAATCTCCCTAGCACTGGATTCAAAGCTGGTAGATTTCTAGCTTCATCTCTTACATGCTCCTCCATCCTCCTTGTGCTTTCCTCTCAACTAATTTTCATACAAGCTGTTCCTCAAAACCACTTTCCTGTTTGGTGTATTTTGACTGCATAGACAGGTCTCCTTGCCTTACATCTGTTACTCCTTTTTCTGCCTGACAAACTTGTCCACTTTTTTTTTTTTTTAGACAGGGTCTTGTTCTGTCACCCAGCCTCGAATGACAGTGGCACAATCATGGCTCACTGTAGCCTCAAATTCCTGGGCTCAAGGAACCCTCCTTCTTCACCCTCTCAAGTAGCTGGGACTACAAGCATGCACCACCATGCCCTCTAACTTTTAAACATTTTTTTTTTTTTTTGTAGAGATGGGGGTCTCACTATGTTACCCAGGCTGGCCTTGAAATTCTGGCCTCAAGAAATCCTCCTGTGTTGGCCTCCCAAAGCACTAGGATTACAGGCGTGAGCCACAGTGCCTGTCCTTCTCTACTTTGAGGACCAATTTGAATAACTCAAGAAAAACAACTAATGCTTTCTGCTCCTTGTGGATTTTTTTTAGGGAGCGGCTTCATGTGTCACCACATTATATTATAACTACTTATTTATTTACCTATGTTTCCAACAAGAGTATGTCGTCTGGAGGTTCCTAATGTCTAGATCAGTGACCAGCAAATAATCAACCTGCAATAATTGTTTGTTGAATGGGCAAATCAATGGGTGGATGGAGAGAGAAATGATTGAATAAATGAACAAGGTAATAAATGAGTGAATAAACATGTTCATCAGCACATGGCTCCCTCAGCATAGTATATATCAATAGTCTGATCATAAACCCATTTATTTGGCACTGGGAGCTTCTCTTTCTCCTTCCTGAATTCAGAAAGAAATGAACAACATGTGATATCTTCAAAATTCTAACTTGCTGTCAATATTAATTTATGATCTGCATTAGATTCATTAAATGTAATAACATCAACAAGAACTACTGGCATGCTTTCCATGTTCTTTTTAAAAAATTATTTACTTAATTAATTTTTTTAGAGACAGGGTCCTTCTCCATTGCCCAGGCTAGAGTGCAATGGCATGATCATTGCTCACTGCGGCCTTGAATTCCTGGGCTCAAGCCATCTTCCTGTCTCAGCCTCCCAAGTAGCTGGGACTACAGGTGCATGCCACCATGCTCTGCTAAGTTTTTAATTTTTCTTAGTAGACACGGGGTATCACTATATTGTCCAGGCTGGTCTTGAATTCCTGGACTCAAGCAATTCTCCCACTTTGGCCTCCCTAAGTCTGGGATTACAGGTGTGAGTCATGGTGCCCAGCCTCTATATATAATAGTAACTTTTTAACATGCAACTTACTAACATTTCACATCTTTAGGAAATAAGGGTTATTCTTCTTATCCTTACTTTATAATTAAGCAATTGAGAGACAAAGAGAAGTTTAGAAACTTGCCCTAAGTCACCTAACTAGAAAGGGGCTCTGTCTCCAGGCTTACTTTCACAGGATGAATAAAAAGAAAACATCACATACAGCTAGTGAATATACATTTTGTAAATATCCTTGATGCTTTCTAACTATTCTGCCCATATATATTCAAGAGTCTTAAGACACAGTGTTGGGATGATGAGGAAGCAAGACAAAATGCAGAGATGTTGTTTTATAGAAGAAGTGACTCTAACTTACAGAGGAAAAATTGTCATTAGAAGTAATAAGGGGCCAGGTGTGGTGGCTCACACCTGTAATCTCAGCACTTTGGGAGGCTGAGGCAGGCAGATCACGAGGTCAAAAGATTGAGGCCATCCTGGCCAATATGGTGAAACCCTGTCTCTACTAAAAATACAAAAATTAGCTCGGCGTGGTGGTGCGTGCCTGTAGTCCCAGCTACTTGGGAGGCTGAGGCAGGAGAATCACTTGATCCCGGGAGGCGGAGGTTGCAGTGAGCTGAGATCACACCACTACACTCCAGCCTGGTGACAGAGTGAGAGTCCATCTCAAAGAAAAAAAAATTAATAAGGAAACATTCTAGTGTAAAATTTAAAGATGGTATTTTAAATAGTATGATTATCCCTTCTCCACTGTCTTCCTACTCTCCTCCCTTTTGAATTTCTTCTGTCTCTTTTCTAACTTGCTGACAGCATCAACAGTCAACCAGTTTCCCACTTTATTTGACTGCTCTCTCCTCAGGTGCAATTGGTCATCCTCATGTGCTACCGGTCATTTGAATCCGACTCCTTCACTCTGTCCCCACAGCCATTACTTGAGTTCAGATTTTCTTTGTTTCTCTCTTGGTTTCCCTGACTCCAGTTTAATTTCCCTCAACTGTATTCCTAGTTACCATTATCATACTTTTTTTAAGTACAGTAATACTTTTACTAAAACTAAGTTTAATACAAAACAAAAACCTTGGTAACAATCATTGTATGTGTCTCATCCTTCCAGGATAGAGAACAAACTCCTTCACTTGGAGATAAATACCCAGCTCCAAACTGGCTACTATCTACTTCACCTTCACCTTATTTCCAGCTACTCTGTTCCTTTCATCTTTTGCTGTACCTGCTGTGGATATTTGTCTAAGCACTTTCAAAATGTCACCCCACTCACTCCTGGCCTATATGGTTTCCTCTGAGAAGTCTGTTATCAGATGAACCGAAGCCCCTTTATATGTTGTTTCTCTTCTCTTTCTGCTTTTAGTATCTTCTCTTTGTCCTCGATCTTTGAGACTTTTATTTTTATATGCCTTGAGTATTCTTATTTGGGTTAAATCTGTTTGGTGATCTCTGACTTTTCTATGCCTGAAAGATATTTATATCTTTCAATATGTTTGGGAAATTTTGTTTTTATTTCTTTGAATATGCTTTCTATCCCTTGCTCTTTCTCAATTCCCTCTTGAACACCAGTGATTCTTAGATTTACTCTTATGATGTAATTTTCTATATCTTGTAGGTGGTTTTCATTCTGCTTTCTTTTTTTCCTCTGACTATGTATTTTCAAATAGACAGTCTTCCATTTATGCAGCCAAAAAACACAGGAAAAAATGCTCACCATCACTGGCCATCAGAGAAATGCAAATCAAAACCACAATGAGATACCATCTCACACCAGTTAGAATGGCGATCATTAAAAAGTCAGGAAACAACAGGTGCTGGAGAGGATGTGGAGAAACAGGAACACTTTTACACTGTTGGTGGGACTGTAAACTAGTTCAACCATTGTGGAACTCAGTGTGGTGACTCCTCAGGGATCTAGAACTAGAAATACCATTTGACCCAGCCATCCCATTACTGGGTATATACCCAAAGGATTATAAATCATGCTGCTATAAAGACATATGCACACGTATGTTTATTGCAGCACTAGTCACAATAGCAAAGACTTGGAACCAACCCAAATGTCCAACAATGATAGACTGGATTAAGAAAATGTGGCACATATACAGCATGGAATACTATGCAGCCATAAAAAATGATGAGTTCATGTCCTTTGTAGGGACATGGATGAAGCTGAAAACCATCATTCTCAGCAAACTATCGCAAGGACAAAAAACCAAACACCACATGTTCTCACTCATAGGTGGGAATTGAACAATGAGAACACATGGACACAGGAAGGGGAACATCACACACCAGGGGTAGGGGGAGGAGGGAGGGATAGCATTAGGAGATATACCTAATGCTAAATGACGAGTTAATGGGTGCAGCACACCAACATGGCACATGTATACATATGTAACAAACCTGCATGTTGTGCATATGTACCCTAAAACTTAAAGTATAATAATAATAATAAAATAAAAAAAGAAAAAATAACAAAAAAAAATAGTCTTCAAGTTCACTGATTCTTTCCTCTGCTTGATCCATTCTGCTGTGAAGAGCCTCTAATATATTTTTTCAGTTCAGCAAATACATTTCTTAGTTCCAGGATTTCTGGGGGTCTTATTATTATTTCACCTCTTTGTTAAATTTCTCTGATAAATTTCTGAATTGTTTATTTCTGCACTATCTTGGAATTTGCTATTTCCTTAAAACTGCTATTTTGAATTCTTGATCTGAGAGCTTACATATTGCCATCTCGTTAGAGTTGGTCAATGGTTCCTTGCTCTGTCCATTTGAGGAGGCCATGGTTCCCTGTTTGCTGCCATTTCTTGAGGACATATGTTTATGTCTTAGCACTGATGGATTAGTTATTTATTCCAGTCTTTGCTGTCTGGCTTGTTATATTTTTTTCTTGAATATGTTTGCTTAGAGGCTCTTTGCAATTCACTGTCTGCTTGGAGTTTTTTCACTTGTCTGTGGCACCAGGGGAGTGTTTCAGTCTCAGATTTGAGTTCTGGGATAATGCTGGTGATTACTTTGGTGCTGAGTATTTCTTTTTTATTTTGGTGGGGGCTAAAAGAGTAAAGCCAGATTGTTTCTACACCACCCTTTTGAAGCTATGGATATTTATAACTCCCTTACTTTGCTCATGCAAAAAGAAGTATCATTTTATATTTTAAGGCATAATTCAAAGGGTGTTGCTCCTCCAGGATGCCATTTCTAGTCCTGCTCCAACTTGTAAAATGTATTCAAATTCTCATAATTTCCTCTAATACTTTCCCTCTAAGGCATCTACCTCTATGTTGGCATAAAGGTATGCCATGATGTTATAGAATGGCTTTACTTTCTCCGTTATGCTACTTATTTTTCAATAGTCTGAGCTCCTTTAGGATATATGCCATGTTTTAGTCATTTCGGTATCATCAGAATCTAGAGCAGTACTTGCCATTTGGAAGATATTTAGTAAATTTTTGAATTAGTTTTTAGAAGTCAGGCAAATTCTTAGTAAGTCTAGATTCCTAACAAAGCTGAAGGCATCATGCTACCAGACTTCAAACTATACCACAGGGCTATAGTAACCAAACAGCATGGTACTGGTACAAAAACAGACACATAGACCAATAGAACAGAATAGAGAAACCAGAAATGAGACAGCACACCTACAACTATCTGGTCTTCAAAAACCTGACAAAAATAAGCAATGGGGAAAGGATTCCTTATTCAATAAATGGTGCTGGAATAACTGGTTAGCTATATACAGAAGATTGAAACTGGACCTCTTCCTTACACCATATACAAAAATTAACTCAAGGTAGATTAAGAACTTAAATTTAAAACCCCAAAGTATAAAAACTCTGAAAGATAACTTAAGCAATACCATTCAGGATATAGACAAGGAAAAAGATTTTGTGATGAAGCCACCAAAAGCAGTTGCAACAAAAGTGAAAATTGATAAATGGGATCTAATTAAGCTAAAGAGTTCTACATAGCAAAATAAACTATCAACAGAGTAAACAGACAACCTACAAAACGGGAGAAAATTTTTGCAAACTATGCGTTCGACAAAGGTCTAATGTCCAGCATTTATAAGAAAATTAAACAAATTTACAAGAAAAAAAAGATCTTATTAAAAAGTGGTCAAAGGACATGAATGGACACTTTTCAAAAGAAGACATACATGCATCCAACAATCATGTGGAAAGAAGCTCAGAATCACAGATCATTAGAGAAATACAAATCAAAACCACAGTGAGATACCATGTCGCACCAGTCAGAATGGCTATTATTAAAAAATAAAAAATAAAACAGATGCTGGGAAAGTTGTGGAGAAAAAGGAACACTTATACACTGTTGGTGGGAGTGTAAATTAGTTCATTTATTGTGGCCAATAGTGTGGTGATTCCTCAAAGACCTAAGGACAAAAATACAATTAGACCCAGCAATCCTATTACTGGTATATACCCAAAGGAATATAAATTATTCTATTATAAAGACACATGCACATGTATATTCATTGCAGCACTGTTCACAATATCAAAGACATAGAATCAACCTAAATGCCCATCAATAATAGACTGGATAAAGAAAATGTGGTACAGATACACCATGGAATACTATGCAGCCATAAGAAAAGAATGAGATCATGTCCTTTGCAGGGAGACGGATGGAACTGGAGGCCCTTATCCTTAGCAAACTAACACAGGAACAGAAAACCAAGTACTGCATGTTCTCACTTATAAGTGGGAGCTAAATGATGAGAACACATGGACACATAAAGGGGAACAACACACACGGTGGCCCATTGGAGGGTGGAGGGTGAGAGGAGGGAGAGGATCAGGAAAAATAACTAATGGGTACTAGGCTTAATACCTGGGAGATAAAATAATCTGTAAAACAAACCCCCATGACAAAAGTGTACCTATGTAAAAAACCTGTACATGTACTCCTGAACTTAAAATAAAAGTTAAAAAGAAATCCAGATTCCTGGCTTCTAAAAAATTGGATGATTTTGTCAAAACTAGACAGACTTAAATTCCTCTGTTGTAGCAATAAACAGAAGCTGTTTTCTAAGGGCTAGGCACTCTCCAGTTTGCTGCACTCCCCACCAATGCCTCTCATATTACTCCCATCTGATGTAACTAATTTAAGGTAACCCCTGGCCTCTGAGCATTTTTCATTTTGTGATGCAAATTATAGCACCAATTACAGATGAGAGTTGAATTCAGTTTTAATAATGGTTTATTCCATCCTTGAGATGCTATAATTCTAAGTACCATTTTCAAACACAAAGTAATCTCAAGCAGCAAAGGAACCTGGATAGCTTCCATTTTTAGCTTCTTTCTAAACCAGCAGAATTCAAGACATTATTAACTATTTGGCCTTTTAGGAAAGTCAGTTGAAATACAAATTTATAAGGATGCATTTGGTAGAAGAGCCAACTCCAGAAAGTAATGTAAACTCTATTCCTGTGTTGACCAATATGTAATTTTGTATGTATCTGACAAAAGAAGCTGAATCTGAGAAGACAATTCTAATTGTTTCTGATTGCATTATGCAAATAGTTTCAATAGATCTACTAGTCTATTGAACTTACTATTTGACCAGTTGATGTGACTCTAAAATGCCCTTGCTCTTTGGGAAATTTCTTTTCCTTCCTTCCTTCCTTCCTTCCTTCCTTCCTTTTCATCTTTCCTTCCTTCCTTTCTTTCTTTCTTTTTCTTTGTGTAAACATCAGCTAGAATTTCTATAGACAGGATTAAAAGTCTGGGAAAAAATCTGAGCTTTTAGTGTGGCATAATAAAAATAGTACTAAATTATAAGAGCAGGGTGATCATAAACAGCAGCCCATCACCTTTATATTACCCATAGTCCTTTACATAGTATTCTACTCATAGTTGTGGTTAATGAATCTACTGAATAAATGCATAGGCTAAGAGCCAGACGAACTAGTCTTCCCAAGTAGTCAAATATCTTGCCTTCTGGTGATGTCTCAGATTATTTTAGGTACAGAAGATTTGTTTTACATAGTGTTCACCTGGTATATATTTTTCCATTTTTAAAACTGTTAATCTTTCAGCATCCTCATAGTTTAGGTAAGTTCCTGTAAGTAGCATATATCTGGATTTTTTAAAAATCCATTGTGATCTGTGTATTTTAACAGAGTTTAGTCTATTTACATATGGCTACTAATAACTATGGATTTGCTTTAACAGTTTGTACTTCCTATTTACATTGCATTAAAAATATATTTCTCCTTCATTTCTCTTTTCTGTTGGATTAGGTTTTCTTTTTCCATTTTTCTCTCTACCAGCTTAGAAGATATTCATTCTTTTCTATTCTTTTAATAAGAATATTTGACTTAAAATATAAAGTTAATAAAAAGCTCTCCCTACCCCTAAGCAAATAAATGAATAAATAGCTTAAACTCATTTTAATTCTGATCACTTTGCTGCATATCTTACCTTTAATTTTTGCCTAATATTGTAGATCAATCTTATTTTTAAATCGACAGAGTAGTGATTATTTGCTTATTACGTCTCTCTCCTATCAGAAATATGACACTGCTGCATCCCATTTACAATAATGTTTAACACATAGTACTTAATACGTATCTTTGGACTAATGAATCAATACAATACTAGGGTTTTTTTTTTTTTCTTTTTTTACTGCTAATGCTTGGTGACATTTAGTCACATGCTTAGTAATATCTTTTTTCCTCATTTTTCTTTTTGCATCTTACTTTTTCACGGCTTACTTTTTTTCAAATATATAATTTAAGGTATATAGCTTAAATTTTATAGTGTTTATACTTTAAACTTTTTATTTTGAAATAGTTACAGATTCACAAAAAGGTTACAAAAATAGTACAGAAGGGTCACATGTGCTCATGTGACACTGCTGAATCCTTTTTTACAACACATAGTACTTAATACATATTTTTGGACTGAATAAATAAATCCATTTTTTAAAAAATCATGTTTGTTAATATTTACTCTTCCTTCCTTCTTCCCTCCTTCTCTCTTTCTCTACTTTTTTTCTCTTTCTCTTTTCCTCCCTCCATCCTTTCCTTCCTTTTCTCTTTCTTTTCCTTTCTTTCCAGGGTGTCAGTCTGTTGTCCAGGCTGGAGTCCTGTGGTACCATCAGGGCTCACTGCACCCTCAACCTCCCCAGGCTCAGGTGATCAATCCTCAATCCTCCCACCTCAGCCTCTTGAGTAGCTGGGGTTACAGGTGCACACTACCACACTCAGCTAATTTTTGTATTTTTTTGTAGAGATGGGTTTTTGCCATGTTTCTTAGGCTGGTCTCGAATTCCTGCAAGTGATCTGCCCACCTCAGTCTTCCAAAGTGCTGCAATTACAGGTGTAAGCTACCATGCCCAGACTACTCACATGTTTATCAATATCTTTTCTCCCCATTTTTCTTTGACCTTTACCCAATTTCCCCCAATGGTTATATCCTACCCCAACCAGGAAATTTGTGCACTAGGTGTATATATTTATATGCTGTTTTATCACGTGTGAATTCATGTATTAACCACCCCAATTAAGATACATTCCAGGCCGGGCGCGGTGGCTCACACCTGTAATCCCAGCACTTTGGGAGGCTGAGGTGGGCGCATCACCTGAGGTCAGGAGTTCGAGACCAGACTGCCCAACATGGTGAAACCCCATCTCTACTAAAAATACAAAAAATTAGCCGGGCGTGGTGGCAGGCGCCTGTAATTGCAGCTATTCAGGAGGCTGAGGCTGGAGAATCGCTTGAACCCGGGAAGTGGAGGTTGCAGTGAGCCGAGATCATGCCACTGTCCTCTAGCCTGGGCAACAAGAGTGAAACTCCATCTCAAAAACAAACAAACAAACAAAAAAACCCCCCAAAAAACAGATATATTCTATCACTACAAAGACCATCCTCACGCCCTCCTACCCCCAACTCTACTCCACCTTATCTAATTGCTGGCAACTACTAATCTGTTCTCATCTCTATAATTTTGTCATTTTGAGAATTTATAAATGGAATCACACATCACACAGTATGTGACCTTTAGGTATTAGATTTTTTTTTATCCATCATAATGCTCTTGAGATCCATTCACATTATTGTGTGAATAAGAAAATAAGAAACTTTTTTTTTTTTTTTGCTGTGTAGTATTTCATAGTACGGATGTGTTGCAATTTCTTAAACCATTCAACTATTGAGGGGCATTTTGTTTATTTTTAGTTTTGGGCTATTAAAGTAAGGCTGTTATGAATATATTTATGTACATGTTTTTGTGAATCGAGGTTTTCATTTCTCTGGGGATGAATGCCCAGGAGTGTGATTGCTGAGTTGTATGGTAAGTGTTTAATCTTATAAGAAATTGCCCAATTATATTCCAGACTGGCTGTACCATTTTACATTCTTGTGTCCATATATCTAAGTATAGATTTATATGTTTTATATATTGATGTTTTCTTTTTCTAAGAATTCATATATTTATTCCAGTCTGTACAGACAGGACTTATTTGTACTCATCCTTCTTAAGAGGGCTTTCTATGAATTCAAAGGGGATTGAGGGTTGTGACCTAAGCCTGAAGTCACGTCAGCTGTTTTAACATTAGGGGGCTCTCTGAGCCCAGGATCTATGTGACTCTTGCAGATGCCCTACATACACTGCCTTGGTGGACTTGGGTAGGAAAGGGAAGAATTCCCTGGGTTACCAGGCAAAGTTACTCTCTTTCCACTCTTTCCCCAAATTGGAAGGAGTCTCTCTCCATGTGGGCTGCCCTGAGTTAGGGAAGGGGTCATATGGGCACTCCCATGGCCACTATCACTGGCACTGCACAAGGTCACATCTGAAGCCTTACAGACCAGCATAGTACTGGGGCTCACCCAAGGCCTGCAGCTACCACTCCCTGACTGCTGCTGATGTTTTTGCAAGGCCCAAGACCACTTCAGTCAACAGGTGGTGAATTCTGCCTGGATTGGGTCTATTCCATCAGGCCAGCAGATTCCCTTCCAGCTCAAGGTGGCTTTAGAAATGCTGACTAGGAGCAAAGACCTGGAATCTGGGCTTCAAGAATTTACCTGGTGCTTTATTTTACTGTGGCTGGGCTAGTACCCAAGTTGTAAGACGTCGTTCTCTGTACTCTTCCTTCTCTTTCCCTCAAGTGGAAGGAGTCTCTCCTGGAGCTGTACTGCCTGAATTGGAGGAGGTGATGCAGGCAGTCTCTTGGGCTCTGGTGTTGCACTGAGTTGCACTCAAAGTCCAGTGCTTCTGAGATCAGCAAAGCAGCAGGGCTTGCCCTAGGACTGTGGTCCTTGTGGCATGACTGCTACTCAAATTTATTCTGGGTCCCAGGCCACTTCAGTTAGTCAGTGGTGAAGCTGGCTGTGACTTGGGTTCCTCCCAATGGGGCACAGAATTTCCCTGTGGGCCAGGGCTGGTCTGAAGGCTCCTGTCCTGGGTGCCAGCAGAATTCTGCCCTTTGCTATGTTCCACTGTGATACGACAGTACCGAGTCCCACTCTTGCTTTGCTCTCTCTCCCTTAAGCACAGATTTTCTCTCCATGCTCTGCTGCTTGGGTTTGAGGGAGGGATGGTGCATGCAATGCAAGACCGTCTTTCCTATCCTCTTCAATTCCTCTCTCCTTAATATTATGTTCAGATCAGGCACTGTGATCACTCTAATTGTTTTGGCTCCTACGAAGGTGTTTTCTTGCATGAATAGTTGTTCAATCTGGTGTTCCTGCAGGAAACAATCACACGAGGGCTCTATTTGTCCATCTGGTTCCACTTCCTCCTAAGGAATCATGCAGTTTTATCAAATCTGGAAAAGTTTTGTTATTAATTCTTTGAATATTTTTTATTCCAATTTTTTCTATTCTCTTTTCCTGAAAAATACCATTAAAATAAATTAGAACATTTGGTCCTATTCTCCCTATCTACTTTTAAAGTCTTTTTAAATATTCTTTACTTCCTTATTTCTCTTTGTGAACTCCAGATATTTCTGTATTCCAGTTCACTAGTTATATTTCCAACTATATCTGAATTACTATTTAATCCAGTCATGGAGTTTATTTTAATGACTATAGTTTACATTGGTAGAAATTCCATTTGGTAATTTCAAAGATATTTTTCTTTTCCTTTTCCATGCTTTCTTATTCATTGCTTAAAAATTTCCAATTCCCATTTATGATTTTATTAATTTAAACCTCCCTCTTATCTCTCTTTCTCTCTCTATATATATATGTTCAACTTTTATATTGAAGTGCTGTCATTGTCTGGGGTAATAACCGAGGCTCATTACCCCACCGCCTCAGAAAACAAGGATGCAGACACACCAGAGTGAGGTTAAGAGTGGAAGTTTAATAGGTGAAAGAAAAAAAAGAGCTCTCTTGCTACAGAGAAGGGTCCCAGAGAAAATGGGTTGCTGGTTCTGCGGCAGAATGCAGGAGATTTTATAGATGAGCTTGAGGAGGTGGTGTCTGACTTACGCACAAGATTGATTGGACCAGGTGTGCCATTTGCATAGCATGTGAAAATCTGGCCACCCCACCCCCCAATTTTATTATGCAGATGGGTTCTCTACCTGGATGGAGCTATGTTGCTTGTTCCTTATTGTACAGGTGGTGACAAAAGGGAAGATGGAGCCTCCATGTTCAACATACCTAGCTTCCAGGTAGCCCCTTTTTATTGGCACGGCTGCTGGCATTCACCCATGCAAGTTTCCAGCTTGCTTTTCTACTTTTGCGACTTGATTTTTCAGGCTGCTCTTTGTTAGAAAAGAAATGATTTGGGGGCTGCTTTTTATTAAAAGGGAAGCCTTGCGGAGGACTCCTTTTACCCTCACTATCTTCCTAAATAATTTTTTTCTAGCTCCTATATCTATATCACCTGAAGTTATTGGGTGTTTAATGTTTTTGTTTAGTGCCTACTGACTCTCACCCATGTCAATTTGTTTGCTTGTAAGTTTTTGCAATTCTGAATTTTGATTTCATCATTACATTTCTCTGTGGACATCCTGTGAAGCCTCGGTTGAAGGTGTATACCTCCATAGGTTTTCTGCTTACTTCTGCCTGGTGTCTCAGGGTCAATTTTATTTGTTTAGAGTTTCATACTACGGAATAGTATACAATAAAATCTCTAGTCTAATTCCATGATTCTGAGTTCTTAAAGAAAAAGTTTTCACCATCTGTAACTCAAAACAAGATGTACAAACTTCACTGTTGTCTATACTATAGGTGAATTTTTCTTAAGACAGTCTTTTATACAGTCAGGCCTTATGAGCATGTTCTCAGTTTCACCATGAGAGAGCTTAAGTATTAGTCGGTTTTCCCAAAGTTGACTTAAAACCTATGTCCCCAAGTTGTTGCGACTGGAAATTTTTCTCTCCACCTCATGGCTTTATTGTCACTATTTTAATTTGCTGTTTTTTTTGGGGGGGGGAGGTTAATTCTTTGCTTTAGGACTCTTGTAGTTTCCCTTTATTTCTTGTGCACTCAGTCTTTCATGCAAGATTTACTTTATCTAGGTTTTTAGTGTGTGTGTGTGGAATAAAGAGTTTAATAGACAAGAGGCCAGCCACGACACATGGAAGACAAAGTTGTTACTCAACTCAATCTCCACAAAAATTCAAAGGCTAGGGTTTCTCAAGGATGGTAGGCCAGGGAGTCCCTTTATGTGTGGGGCCACAGGACAGGTCCAAGATTGGGGCAGGCAGGAGGGTCAGGGAGGCAGCTGCTCCAGTTGGAGACACTGGTTGTCAGAAATGCAAAAACCTGAAAAGACATCTCAAAAGGCCAATCTTAGATTCTACAATAGTGATGTTATCTGCAGGAGTAATTGTAGAAGTTACATGTCTTGTGACCTCAGGAATAATGGCTGGTAATCATTTATCTCTACACCTTAGCAGAATTGGCTCCACTCATCCTCCTAACCTGATGCCCTTTCATTAGTTTTATCAATGCAGCTGAATTTTGTCAAAGGCCTATTATCATTTAAACTATAAACTAAATGTTTCCCAAAGTTAGCTTGGCCTAAGCCTAGAAATGAGCAAAGACAGCTAGCCAGTGAGGCTAGAAGCAAGATAGGGTCAGCCATGTAGGATTTATCTCACTGCCATTATTTTGCAAAGGTGGTTTCAATCCCTCCCTTTGGATTTCATAACACCTTATTCTTAAGGTGTGGGCTATGCAGATGGGAAAAGGCCTAGACTACTCTGGCTTCTTCCTGCTGACAGGGGGAGTGGTGGGGATAGCAGTTGGCTCCAGGGGAATAGGAGTGAAACTGCTGCTTTGCAGCTGTCTGCCTGTACTCACGGGTGCCTGTCAAGGCTTGCATGACAAGCATGTTAGCACTCTCATCCACAGTTTGGCATAGCACTTAAGTGAACAGCGGACTATAAGTTAATGAGTAGGTTGTTAGAAAGACAGATTGGGATAAGCAGGAAAGAGTAGATTAAAATATACTGCCCCATATCTTTTTAGTCAGTTTCCTAGTCCTGAAACTAGATGAGTTCAGTTAAACAGCTGTTTCCCATATCAGGAGATGGCACTGCAGATGGGCTAGGCCTCTACATGTGATGAAGGCAAACTGATTTTTAATAAGAGGCATGTCTATGGAAACAGAAGAAAAACAAAGGTTAATGTTATCCAGGTATAGAGTAAAGCTTTTTCAGGTTATCTAGACTAACATGTTATTGGAAATCAAAAATTGTATAGGTAATCTTTATATTTAAGTTTTATACTGAACTTCAATGGTCCTTTGGAAGCTTTTATATTATTTTTTTCTATATTACTCAGAATTTTAATAGCCACCATACTACAAACATTTGGAGTTTTCCCCTGCAGATAAATTTTTTACGAGATATCTCAAAACATGACTCACTACTGTTTTAGTCAAGTACTATATGTGTTGAATTTTTAAAAAGTATTCCATCTTATTTTAAGTGACATGTTATTACTTCATTTTAGAAACACGGTTCTGCTTAGCACATCAACATAAGAATCAAGAAGTTACTATTGCCACAATTTTCTAAGGGGAAATGAGAATACCCACCAAAGTGAGGCCTACCTACAAAAATGTACTCCTTGTAATTTTATTCCAAATAGCTAAAGACTCGATGCTTTGGACTTTACTGGTACCTTGATTAACTCATAGAGATATAGAATAATATCTGTATCACAAGGGACAGTTAAAATCGTTTAGAGATAATTGAATCAAGTTTTGTAACATACTTTTTGGGAATTGTGTAGCAAATCACCTTTTAAGAATTATTAGTGATGTACCCAATATTCCAAATTATTTGCTTTTTTAATGTTTTAAATGAATTAGAATAGGATTCAAGGTTATCTTAAAATGTCAGTCTCACTCATGTGCTTCTGATATGCTTACTTGAGCAGAAGGAAAGGGACTGAGCTATATATATAGTACATGGGTAATTGTGTACAACCCTGGGGCTGCTCACGAGAGTGTGTAAATATTATTTTTATTTGAATTGTGAAGGAGAATTCTATTGAAAACCCTTGGTCTAACCCAGAACATTCATTTTACAGATACAGAAACTTAAGACCCTGGGAGAGATCTCACAGCATAAGTTAGTGACCAAGATGAAATTTTAATTCAGGTATTTTAAGTTATACTCCAGTATACTTTCTACTATACCACAATGTGAGTATTTTCATAACATCTCAATGGAAGATAGAGTGCCACTTGGTTATATCAGGCATTCATATTTTTCTCGCTGCATTAAAGCATGCTTTCTTTCTATCAGATTAAAACTGACAGAGATGAAACAGTTTTGGGCTGATTTCCTTGGGTTGGCTCCAGGGCCTCTAATCTGCATTTCATCATGATACAAGCACATGTTTCCATCACTGGTACACTCATCTGCATCAGCCGGGATGTTAATCACATGCTAACCCAATTTCCTCTATGAATTTATTACTTACTCTTCATTTAAGTTCATGAAACCTAACATGAGCCCCAAATAAGCATAACATCCTTAACAAGAAGATCTCAGCTCAAGAACCATGCCCAGTAGGCAACATAACCTAAGGATGAAGGCTTAGGAGTGGTAGGGAGAAAAAAGTCAGTCTTGCAACAATACCTTGGGGACCCTCTGCAAAAGAAGATTATAATAAATTTTGATAGGTTACATGGTACAAGCTGAAATATATGAGCAAGTCATGATTTGGCAACAAAATACAGTCCTTGTTTTAACTCTGTGCAGCTTGGTTGTACCAAATTGATCCATGATTTCCAAAATTAGAGGTACAGGCTTCAGAAAAGAGGGGAAGATGGTGGAGTGCATGGAAGGCAAAGGGAAGCTATAATGGGAAGGCATTTTGGAAGCAAAATCCAAATGCAAATTGGTTGTTAGAGAAACTATTCAGATCCATCTGGTGGCTGCATGTGATGAATACTACAAATCCCATCAATGGATATTCATTTTGGCAATGGCAAAGGAAAGTAAAATAGAACAAGTCAGGCCACCAGAGTATGGATGTTGGACTCAAACCAACTTGGATCAGAGTATGGATGTTGGACTCTTGCAAATGTGCAGCAAACACTCATCCCATGTTTTAGCCTAGTAATCATGAAAAGAGGAGTTTCTTAGTTAAGAAAATGTAAGAAGAAGAAGTGTCAGAGACATAAAAACTACATTACATAACTGACAGGGGAAATGTTTCTTTGTTTGCTGAGCTTCCAGATTGTCTGTCTATATTGATTTATTCATTCATTCCACCTACATCTGTTCCTAAGCACCTGTTATATGTCAGGCACAGTACCAGGCACTCAGGATACAAGATGATACAACTACATTCCAGCCCTCAGAGAACTCTCAGTCTGGTGGGGGAAGTAGATGATAAACAAATACAATAAAGTTATACAGATAAGAACTAAAATATATCAATAATGAGCTATGCATTTACTACTTGCCAGCTCCTGTTTTATGTAATTTACACGTTACCTCATTTAATTCTCATAAACAGCCTATCAGGTAAGTATAATTATTTTTACCCATTTTATGACGGGAAAACCAAGGAGTAGAGAGGCTGAGTATCTTAACCAATGTCACATAGCTAGTAAATGGCAGAGGTGGGATGTGAACCCAGGAAATCTGGGTTTTGAACCCAAGCTCTGAACTACTATGATATGCTTTCTCTTGAACTAAAAGATAATGTGAAATATCAGTCTATCTATGGTAAGGTGGAAGAACCTCAGGGTGATAATAGTGCTGTTCATAAAACAGGGAAGCTTTTTCTGGGGAGAAGATCCCAGAGCTAGGTCTTGAAAAAGATATTCTGGAGATGTATAGCATGGGGGCAACCAGGCAGAGGAAGAAGCATGAACAAAGTTATTGGAACTTGAAATGGAACACCATATTTGTTCTTGGAGATCCGGGAAGCCCCACGTGGCTGCACAATAGAGTTGAAGAGTTAAGTAACAGAGAATGACCGGGAAAATGAATTAGGGGCAAAGGGGACCAGATCATAAGGAACTTTGTGTGTACATCAAGAATTCCAAGTTTATTCTCAGTTTAAGGGAGGGCCCTTGTAGGGTGTAAGCAAGACAGAGACAGATTAAATGTGCCTTTTTATAGAAGTACTGAGTCATGGTGTAAAGGTATGATTGGGAAAAGGTGTTGGGGGCTGGGGAGTGATAAACAAGACTGAAAGAAAAGGGAACAGTTAAAGAACATTTGGAAATAATACAGGATGAACATCACGTGGATACCAAAATCAGACAAGGACACACACCAAAAAGAAAACTATAGGCCAATATCCCTGATTAACATAGATGCAGAAATCTTCACAAAATACTAGCAAACCAAATTAAACAATACATTAAAAAGATCATTTACCATGATCAAATGGGATTCATTCCAGGGATGCAAAGATGGTTCAACATATGCTAATCAATGAACATGATAAATCACATTAATAGAATCAAGGACAAAAACCATATGATTATTTCAATAGATGCTGAAAAAGCATTTGGTAGAATTCAGCATTGCATTATTACAAAAGTGCTCAACATGTTGGTTTTAGAAGAAATATACCTTAACACAATAAAGTCCATATATGACAAATTCACAGCTAACATCATAATGAACAGGGAAAAGCTGAAAGCTTTTCCTCTAATATCTGGAAGAAGACAAGGATGCCCACTTTCACTGCTTTTATTCAGCATAGTACTTGAAGTTCTAGCCAGAGCAATTAGGCAGGAGAAAGAAATAAATGAAATAAATTTCCATACAAATTGGGAAAAAGGAAGCCAAATTGTTTCTGTTTGCAGATAACATCATGATATATACGTATCGAAAACTCTGAAGACTCCACCAAAAGACTGTTAGAAGTAATAAGTTTTGTAAAGTTGTAGGATATAAAATCAACATATAATATTGGTAGCATTTCAATATGCCAATAATGAACTATCTAGAAAAGAAATCAAGAAAAGCAATCCCATTTATAATAGTTACCAAAAAATACCTAGAAATAATTTAGCCAAAGAGGTAAAAAAAGAATCCCTACAATTAAAACTATAAAATCATGAAAAAAAATTGAAGTAGACACAAATAAATCGAAAGATAGGCCACGTTCATGAATTGGGAAAATTAATATTGTTAACAATGTCCATATTACCCAAATCAATCTACAGACTCAATGCAATTCCTATCAAAGTACCAATGACATTCTTTTTTTCTTTTCTTTTCGAGACAGTCTTGCCTTGTTGCCCAGGCTAGAATGCAATGGCATGAACTCGGCTCACTGCAACCTCTGCTCCTGCATTCAAACGATTCTCCTGCCTCAGCCTCCTGAGAAGCTGGGATTACAGGCACCTGCCACCACACCCAGTTATTTTTTGTATTTTTAGTAGAGATGGGGTTTCACCATGTTGGTCAGGCTGGTCTCGAACTCCTGACCTTGTGATCCACCCGCCTTGGCCTTCAAAAGTGCTGGGATTACAGGTGTAAGCCACCGCGCCCAGCCCATGACATTCTTCACAGAAATAGAAATAAAAAGAACCTTAAAATTCATGCGAAAATGCAAAAGACCCTGGATAGCCAAAGCAATCTTGAGGAAAAATAAAGCTGGGGCATCATATTACCTGACTTCAAAATATATTACAAAACTATAGTGCCAAAATAGCAAGCTATTGGCATAAAAACTGAGATATAGACCAGTGGAACAGTGTACAGAACCCAGAAATAAATCCATGTATTTATAGCCAGCTGATTTTTAACAAAGGTGCGAAAATACACATTGGGGAAAGGCCAGTCTTGGAATAAGTGGGGCTGAGAAAACTAGACATCCACATGCAGAAGAAAGAAAACCTTATCTCTCACCATACACAAAAATCAACTCTAAGTGGATTAAAGACTTAAATGTAAAAATCCCAGACTATGAAACTACTAGAAGAAAACACAGGGGAAATATTTCATAAAATCAAACAGGGCAAGGATTGTTAAAATACGACTTCAAAAGCAAAGGCAACAAAAGCAATAATAGACAAATTCGATTATATCAAACTAATGAGCTTCTGCACAGCAAAGAAAACAATCAGTAAAGTGAAGAGACCAACCTACAGAATGGGAGAAAGTATCTGCAAGCTATATGTCTGACAGGGGTTAATACGTAGAATTTATAAGGAACTTCAACTCAATAGCCAAAAAGCAACTAATCAGGTTTAAAATGGGGAAAAGACTTAAATAGACATTTTCCAAAAGAAGACATACAAATGGGCCAGACACTGTGGCTCATGCCTGTAATCCCAGCACTTTGGGAGGTTGAGGTGGGTGGATCACGAGGTCAGGAGTTCAAGACCAGGCTGGTCAACATAGTGAAACCCCATCTCTACTAAAAATACAAAAATTAGCTGGGTGTGGTGGTGGGCGCCTGTAATCCCAGCTACTCTGGAAGGCTGAGGGAGGAGAATTACTTGAACCCGGGAGGCATATGTGGTGAGCCGAGACCGCACCATTGCACTCCAGCCTGGGCGACAGAGCGAGACTGTCTCAAAAATTTAAAAGAATAAATAAAAATAAAAATAAAAAAAAAAGAAAGAAAGAAGACATACAAATGCCCCACAGATACATGAAAAAAATGATCAAAAAAATCATCAGGGAAATGCACATTAAAACCATCATGAGATATCATCTCATCCCAGTTAGAATGGTTATTACCAAAAAGATGAAAAATAACAAATGCCATTGAGGATGTAGAGAAAGGGGAACTTTTAGGTACTGTTGGTGGGAATGTAAATAAGTAGAGCCATTATGGAAAATAGTATAGAGGTTCCTCAAAAAATTAAAAATAGAACTACTATATGATCCAGCAGTTCCACTAGTAGGCATATATCCAAAGGAAATGAAATCAGTATTTTGAAGAGATATCTGCACCTCCGTGTTTATTACAGTGTTACTCACAATAGCCAAGATATGAAATTAACCTAAATACCCATCTACAGATAAATGGATTAAGAAAATGTGACTATATATAAATATACATATTTATGTATACATATATGTGTATATATATACATACACACTATGAAATATTATTCAGCCATAAAAAATAACATTCTGTCATTTTTGGCAATGTAGATGAACCTGGAGGACATTATGTTAGGTTATGAGTTGGGAAATAACTCATGCAAAGAAAGACAAAAATCTTATAATCTCATTAATACGTAGAATCTTAAAAAGTTAATTTTATAGAAGTAGAGTAGAATAGTGGGGAGGGTGTAGTGGAGACCAGGAGAGATTGCTCAAGGGTACAAATTTACAGATAGATAGGAAGAACAAGTTCTGGTAGTGTTTTTCTTTCCTTTTATTCTTCCTTCTTGGACTTCAGGTTCTTGTGTTCTATTACACAGTAGAGTGACTACAACTAATAACAATGTAGTGTATATTTCAAGTTAGCTAGAAGAGAAGATTTTGAATGTTATCACCACAAAGAAATGATAAATATTTAAGGTGATTGATACAGTAATTACCCTCATTTAATCCTTACACAATGTATACCTGTATTAAAATATCAACCTGTATTCCATAAATATGTACAGTTATGTGACTACTATAAATTAAAAATTAATCAGAAAAAATAAAAGGAAATAGTCTAGGATGGTGGTGGTTGGGTTAAGGGGGATAAAGATGGATGATGTGATGCTGAACGGGGAGGAATACAGAAGCAAGAAGAATTAACTTTCAGGATAACTATTCACTTTCATTCCATTTTGTTTTCTATCCTTAAACTCTGTTGGTGTCCAGAAGAATTTTTTTTGATGACTGAAAAAAGCAATTCTGAAGAAACTGGCCATTGTCATGGGAATGTTTCTTTCTCTACAGATCTTCTTGAATGAAATGCAGGATCAGTTACATTTCACTTGATTATCTTGTATCTAAAAGATATGTTCCAATCAATAGTTACAATAAACAGAATCCAGGCTTACAATGCAATCAAGTCAGGTAAAGTCATGGATATTTCTTAGCAAAAAATCTTCAAAATGTTATCAATATCCCCAGTTGTAATTCTATGCAGTTTTGGTTTACTCAAATCTCCCAAATTTTTTATAATTGAAATATTCAATCAGATAACACCAGGGTGAAAATAATGAAGCCTTGAGATGATGTGTTTCATCAAGTAGAAAATAATTTTAAAAGCATTCTTAAGGATGCAAAAGTGACTGTGAAAAAAATACTGATTTCCTGCCAAAAAGGGGATTATTCCAGCTCACCAGTAAAAGGAAAAAAAAAAAGATGACACCTGTTGGCAGTTTAATGCTAATATGAATTCTGCTTTCAGGCTGGAAATTATGCATCAACAAAAATATAAATATAATCTTTTTCACAGCCGTGTAAGTGAAAAAACATATGTTGAGAAATTAGGGACAACTATTATCCATTATTCAAAATTTCCATGGCCGCTGAGTGAATCCAGTGTTGGAATTAGAAATGTACAATGCTTTTTAATTAATTTAATTTACATTGTTGGCTGATGAAATGCCACAAATAACCACAACATTGAACACTCTTCCGTGTTCTCCTTTAAAAAATGCTCTGGTATTTACAGGAGCCAGCACGGCTGCTAATTTTCTGGTTTCCCCTGGAGAAAATTGAAACAGGGTTTGTACGTTTAAAAGAGAAGCCATAAGCCAGAGGGAGGTGGGTCAAGGTCACCACGAAGACTTCCTCCAAGTTCAGATGTGGTCTCCTAACAAGTTCCTCAGTGATATTGTTTGGCTCTGTGTCCTCACCCAAATTTCATTTTGAATTGTCATCCCCATATGTTGAGGGAGGGACCTGGTGGGAGGTGATTAGATCACGGGGGCAGTTTCCTTCATGCTGTTCTCCTGATAGTGAGTGAGTTCTCACGAGATCAAATGGTTTAAAATTACAGCACTTCCTTCTTTGCTTACTCTCCTGCCATCTTGTAAAGAAGGTGCTTGCTTCCCCTTCACCTTCCACTATGAAGGCCACTATGTGGCCTCCCCAGCCATGTGGAACTGTGAGTCAATTAAACTTCCTTTCTTTATAAATTACCCAGTGTCAGGTAGTATCTTTATAGCCGTGTGAGAGCGAACTAATACACTCAACCAGTTAGTGAATGAGAAATACCATGAGATTTGAAGGAAACTAAGAAAGCAGAATTAGTTGAGTATTTCTTAAAGACTATTTTCCATATATCTGAAAGTATGCTAGGTGTTATATCAGAGCTGTTACTTATCATTCTATGTGACCCTGGCCAAATTACTTTTCTCTTTGACATTTAGTTGTTCCCATCTGTGAAATGTGGGGTTAGGCTTCAATGGTTTCTCTGAGTTTCCGTCTGGAACCTTGATGATTCTCTAAATTAGAGTCACACTCCTCAAGAATCTCAGAGTTACACAAAATTAATAAGACCAGCATACCTAAGCTGATTAACTAAATTAACAATAAAACTAAAAGCATTAGAGGAATGACTCTGTGTACTGCACACTCCGATGCACTGCACACCATAGTCTCTATCACTTTATTATCAGTCACACTCTCCATCCATAATCCCATTCCCTACTCAAAGCAATCCTATGGCATGGGTTTCATAGCACAGATGAAGAAACCAATGCTCAGAGTACTTGAGAGAGTTAAGATTACAGAGGTGGGATGCAGTGAAGGTTGGAATAGAGTTTATGTCTTATTGCCTTCAGTACCTGACTCCTAACCACTGCCCCATATTGCCAATAACAATAACAGGGAAGTGTTCCCAAGGTCTGTTTTAATTCCGGCATGAAGATAGTGCAGTATAAGAGGAAGACCAAAAGACTGTAATCAGATGGCCCTGGGAATTTATCTTAGCACTGCCATGTGGCACCTGTGTATTGTTGGGATATCCAGGCCTATTTCTTCATCTGTAAAATGGGGATATCAATATTCACCTAATAGTGTTGTAGTGAGGCATAAGATAATATCAAGTGCTTTGGCACAATGCCTGTCACATGGTACATAAATAGGAGGTTTATTTATTTATTTATTTTTCTTGTCATCCTCCTTCTTTCCCGTAGTCTTATTTCTTTCAGGGTCTGACCAATTTCTTTCCAGTTTTCTCCTTGTCTTACTGGTGTCTGGTTTGTCTATAGAGGTTTTAAATATTTAAAGGTCACCATTCAGTCAAAGTAGGAAAATCACCCTCTCATATTTGAAACACACCTTGTATCACTTGCACTGGCCCTGGGCCAGGCTCAGAGGGTCCTGATTAGCATATGCCATCTCCCTTAAAGGGAGAGAAAGTGAGAGATAGGCATCTGCAAATTGCAGTCCTTCATTAGCTTGTCTGCTGATATTGATGTTATAATTTTCTAGTCAACTTTTTTCCTACCCAGCCCTCCCTTGGCTCTTGATTTCTGACCTGCAGCCACCCTCTCTTCCCAGTCAGCTTCCTCAAGCAACTCCATCTTGTCAAATGTGGCCAGTCATGTCTGGTGATGCCATAAGCAAAGGATATGCTTATGAAGGCAAGAAAATTGAATGACTGATCTAATTCCTGCCGCTGGAGATCACACCCTACCAGTGATACGGTTGCCTGCAGTTGAAAAATGCAGCATCTTTGGATGTATACAGAGAAGCAAACTATAAAAAAAGAACTTAAATAAATTCAGAAGAAAAGGTGGATCTGATAAATAAGAATCTACTCTGTGCCAGACTTAATTTTCACCAAAAACATAGTTTACACTTAGTATGCACCAAGTACTATTGTAGCACTTTAAAAATATTAACTCATGAAATCCTCACAAGCACCTTAAGAAATAGGATGATAGGATTAATGTCTTCATCTTACAAATGAGGATACTGAGCACAGAGAGGTTGTCATTTCCTCAAGGCCACACCAGTAGTAAGTAACAGAGGAAGGAAAGAGCCCAGGCTATCTGAGTTCTGAATCCAGGCTCTTAGCCACTATGTTGAGCTGCTTCTAGGTTGAGGGGCAGCAGGAGCTTCTTAGGAAATGGGACCAGGGCCAGTAGCTGGTCACCTGCAGCAGAAGTGAGTGAGTATACTAGAGAGTGGCTCCTAGTGAGGAGCGTTCGGCATGCTGTGGGCATCCATCTATGTGCTTTGTGGAAGGAGGGTAGAGTGTTGATTAATCTGGCCAGTTGGTTAAGGCAGTAGACTGTTAAGATCTGAACTCCTATGTTATTGCCATTATGATTCCCATTACAAAGATGAAGACACCAAACACAGAGAAGATACATAACTTGTCCAAGGCAGGATTTTAAACCAGAGCTATTTTATACCTTAGCCCACTCTCTTCCAAAGGCTCTCAGTGGCATGAAGTCTCTCCAAACCAGGTCAGTGTTGATGTGCAGAACTTCAAGAACCAACTTTGCCTTCCTAACACACAGACAATGTGACCATTTCTCATCAGTGTTGTCTCAAAAGAATAGGCACAACATCCAGAAAGCAGGGAGCAATTCACACTTTATGTAAAGCAATTCACACTTTATGTAAAGCCCACAGAGGTAAGTATACTATACACAGAACAAGTACTCAGAGTTGAGTTCTGCTGAACTTAGTGCTAAGTCATCTTAGAATATAGAGTCATATGCTCTAGCTCCATGATGAAGCTGGAAAAGGGCAGTCATAAGAATAAAAAAACACCTCTAAGGAGACAGAAGACATACCTGGGTTATTCCAGTAGCTTCAGTCACAAATACTTGGCGTATACACTACCACTTGCCTCTCTTGTGCCCTTAAAAGGCTTGAATAATAAACACAATGCTGTCATCATGACTTAAGCTTAGCACCCTCTCAAACTTCTCAACACGGTATTCCCAGCAGTGAATACCCATTGATTAGATAAGGAATGTGAGAGTGAAGCCTATTTTTAATCTCTGGATAGCCTGAGAAGTGGTCCCAATGAGTTTATCCAATCTCATGTCCAATGTGATATAATACATAATATCTTTGCATAATTTTGCAATGTCATTTCACACCTGCCTTTCCAATTGAGGGGATTGGAGCACTCATACGTGACTGATGGGCAAGAAAGAGTTCTCTAGAAGGAGAAAGGGGAGAACAATGGGCCTGCCAGGTGGCACTGACATATGAAGCAAAATGATGGGTTTGAGGCTACATTGAGCAGGAGTAGCTTTGGGCCTGTGGGACTCAGATCATCTGAGTTATCTGTCCCACGCCCTAAATCTCCCCAACTGAGAGAAGCACAGTTAACCCACCACTCCAAGGTATCCAAGACAACCTTGTCAGAGGGATCATTTCAGTGCACTCTGTGAGTATGTTGCTCCCATCTCCAAAAGCTTTCAATGGCTGTTCATGGCCTGCTGGATAAAAACCAAGCTCTTTACTCTACCACTGATATTGCAATCTTAGTTGCCCAATTCTCAGCTCCCAGGCCCTCCAAATTTAATTCTAGTCAACTTGTCTAATTTTCTAGTCAACTTTTTGACTAGAAAACTTTTTTTCATTTAAATTCCATAGCTAAAGTAGACTTGAAGCTTCCAAATGAGCTGTGTGACCACGGGCAAGTTTCTTAAACTCTCTGTTCTTTGCTTACTTCACTTAGAAATATCACTTGGCTCTGTCTGAATACATGCTCAACAAATGTCAGCTATTACATGTATTTTTAGTTCTATGTACTCATATGAATGTTTTTTCTGATACGCCTGTTTATGAATGCATGCCTGTTTCACAGCCTTATGCCATTTGTCTGTGCTTGTTTGCTTCTGTCTCTGTCTTATGCTCTCAAACCCTATACCAAATCCAAAAAGAGTATTTTATCCTTCACGAAGACAACTTTGGGTTTGCAGGACAGAGCCTTCTCTCAGGCTAGCTTGGCTAGTGCAAAGCTTTTCTCACAATCACTGGGAATTCTCTGCATTCACAGACAAATGGCAGGAGTGGAGATGTGGAAAGCCTTCAGTCATCAAAGCAGTTTTGTTTTCTTTTCCCCCAAGCCCTTGTCCCTGGCTTCTCTTATCCTTAGTTCCTATATGCAGATATGTGGTGCTCCCAATTAGCTGATTGTGGCTACATTTTTCTGGAGGATAAACCCACATGGCTTTTTTTTGTTTCTACTGCTCTCAGGGTTCTGTTAGGAATGTTATTGATTGGCCCTTTTTGATTTCCAGCTTGTAGGAGTTTGTTAAAATGGCAGATGAGTGAAGCAAAAACTATTGTGGGCTTCATTCTATTTCAGCTAGTAGCATTTCATATTCAAGAAAAAAACCTGTAACTATTTTCAATTCCAATTTTAGTTTAGTCTTTCTTTCTGCCTGTTTTTCTGCTTCAATCCTGTCAAAATAAAAGCTGAAGATTAGCTAGGAAGGAAACGCAGAACGTTTATAGCTATGAATCAGAGACAAGGGTAAGTGAACTTCCTGCTGATGGATGGACAAGCCGGGGTAGTAATTGTTGGTGGTAGTTCATTCTTGATTTTAAATGTAGGATCATTCTGATTTGCATTCTGTTTTCACTTACACTTTCAAATTCTCTGGGCAGGAGCTGTTGCGGATCAAGATGGTGCAGGAGGAAGAAAGAAAGGAAGGGAGGGAGGGAGGGAAAAAGGAAGGAAGGAAGGAACGAAGGAAGGAAGGAAGGGAGGGAGGGAGGGAGGAAGGAAGGAAGGAAGAGAGGGGAGGGGAGGGGAAGGGAGGGAAGGGAGGGAGGCAAGAAGAAAGGGACAGAGGAAGTCCTCAGAGGGAGAGATCCTGCCCTTAGTCACTGGGAAAATTGACAGATGTAGCAGATTGCTTTGTCTTACCGATTCCTTTGCCTTGCTCCTCCCTGGAGAATGCCTATTAACTTTTGCATGCTCCCTGCATCAAACCAGGAGTGAAATTCTGAAATGAGTGAGTTTGGTAATTTCAATAAAAATCAGAAGCTTAATGGGAAATAGTCATGTTACAAATTGCACAGCCTTTGGTCATCTTGCGGGCTCCCTTCTCCCCCAGGAGGCCTATTCTTTCTCTTTGTCTGAGCTCCCATCCTAAGAACTTCTGCCATGAGCAGACCTCTCTGAGAATGCAGCCCAGCCTCCTGCTGGTCAAGAAAGAAGAAGGGGAGCAGCTCTACCAAGCTTGCCTGCTTCCCTTAATTCTCCTACTGCCCCATCTCCCTGGAATTCTGGAGGGTGACTATCCCCCACTCCTTAGTGCCACCTATGTGGCACAGTGTCTGCCACATAGGTGCTGCTCATTAAATGATGAAGGAATCAATACACAGATGAATGAATGCAAGCAAGCTATCCACTACTGTAAGACTACCCAAGTACAAGTTAGCCAAGTAACTGATACAAGGTAGAAAGTGCTAGGTGCAGTCAAAGAAATGTAAACTCGGTGCCAGGAGAGACAGCATAGTACAGTGGTCAAGTACAAGGGCTGTGGCCTAATACAAACCCGGGTGTGGTTCCCGACCCATCATTTACTAGCCATGGGCTAGTTTCCCTCAACTTGGGAAAGCGATAACAATAATAACACTATGAACCATGACATACCTATTTTCCTATCTCTATGTTTAACAATTCT
Organism: Homo sapiens; assembly: GCF_000001405.40. Lineage (NCBI taxonomy): Eukaryota > Metazoa > Chordata > Mammalia > Primates > Hominidae > Homo > Homo sapiens. The sequence goes on from NC_000001.11 coordinate 57,725,230, forward strand.
GAAATCATGCAGGAACGATTACTTGCTCCCCAAATACTTGCTTTTGGAAGATAAAAAATGAGAACAAATTAAAATAGCTTATCAAGACTCACAGCATTCTCTCCAAGACTCACATGAGAATCCTCACCTCGCTGGGCCCACCAACCCGGAGTCGTGATGGTGTATACTCTGCTCAATCCCAGCCAGTTCTCCAGGCCCTAAAACTTCATACCTGCCTTCCCCTGACCTTCCCCTTCAGAGATACTACTTATACTCGGCTAAGGTGGTGCTCTCCTTGCAACAGTAGTTTCATTAACATAGCTTTGCTTAATCAGCAGGTGTTTCTGATGGTCTTTGTGGGGATCTGACAGCTGACACTACTTCACAGACTACTTGGGAACATTGTATCAGATAAGGAAAGAGAAGCATTTAGTTCAGGGCCTAGCACTTGGTAAATACACTTTAAATAATAATATTATTACCATTATGATTAGAGAACAGGCTTAATACATCTAGCTGAAGAAATTCATTTAACTGTTCTTTTCTTTTCTTTTTTTTTTTGAGACAGAGTCTCACTCTGTTGCCTAGGCTGGAGTGCGGTGGCGCGATCTCAGCTTACTGCAACCTCTGTCTCCCGGGTTCAAGCAATTCTCCTGCCTCAGGCTTCCAAGTAGCTGGGACTACAGGCACATACCTCCACGCCTGGCTAATGCTTTTGTATTTTTAGTAGAGACAGGGTTTCACCATGTTGCCCAGGCTGGTCTTGAACTCCTGAGCTCAGGCAATCCATCTGCCTCAGCTTCCCAAAGTGCTGGGATTACAGGTGGGAGCCACCGTGCCCGGCCTATCTGTTCTTTCAGTAATCTCCCATTGAACTAGCACACCTGGGCCATGTTCTAGTTCTTGGAGATACAGGGATGGGTAGTTACTAACTTTGAAGAGCTTGTGACTTAGGGGAGAAAATAGAAGAGTAAAGTAAAAGTTGTAACAGGGTGTGATCAGCCAAGGTGGAAGGGATGCACAAAGCAGAATAGTGGCATAAGGAAACAAGTCATCACTTCATCTATCACAGCAGGCTCTAAGAGTGGAAGGGAGATTGCTTACTGGACTGAGTTCTGGATATTAAATAGAAATGTGCCTGACCATCAGGAATAGGGACTAGGAAAGCCTTTCATTGAATGGGAACAGGACAGGTAGTACCAAGGGGCATGGGATACAGCTAGGATGCACTGGGAAATGTAAACTAGTTCTACATGATGGAAATTGAGAATGAGGCCACAGAGAAAGGCAGGTGCACATCAAGGAGGCTTTGAATAAAAGTGAAGGATCTTGGGCTTTATTTTGAGGAAAGAAAATTATTACCATTGCAGCTAAAGAGTATTAAGTGTTGAAGTCAGGTGCTGTTCTAAACACTTTATATACTTAACACTTCATGTACATGATCCTCATTTAATACTACAAACAACCTTAATTTCTATTCTTATTAAACATCTTCATTTTGTTGATGGGGAGAATTAAGCCGCAAAGAAGTTAAGTAACTTGCTGAGAATCATGTAGCTCAAAAGTGACAGCATCAGTATTTGAACCCAGGCAACCTGGCTGCCAAGTTCACTGTCTTAGTCACTACTGTAAACTACCTCTGATGGGATCAGATTTCTGTTTGAGAATGATCATTCTGGCAGCAAAGGGATAAGGAAAACCAGGGCTAAAACTGGACGCATAAGCTAAAAATGGATAGTGGATCTTATCCAAAGGAGTGCTCTGTAGGTTTTAAAAAACGAAGTGACCAGTTGAGTGTGAATTTATGAAAAGAACACTAAGGCAGCCATGAGCAAGAATGATGGCGAGAAACAATGTGGAACCAGAAAGACCAGCGAGTCAGAGACCATTGAAATACTCTTGGCTAGAGGTGACTGCAGCTGCAATTCAACTTTGAAATCCAGAAAAGGAAGTGCCCAGACTCTCATTATTCCAAAATATTTACTTACATCTCACACTAAAATTAAGCTATGGGACAGGAAGTTCAAGCCAGCACATGGGCACTGCTATTTTCAAGAGATGTCAGGCAGGCCTAACTGCTCCACTGAGAAGTTTCCTAACCATAATTGATGTGTTAAAGCTCAGCAGCTGTTTACACAACTTTGTGGGCACCCACAGGAATAGCAGTCGGTGGCGAGTGCTGCTAAGTGATGGCATGCATTAGACTAAGCCTGTGCGTCACCTGTTCCTTCACATCTTATTACCTGGCTATTAGATGGCACATCTGTAATCCGCTGCAATCACAGGTAGGCCAGGCAGGGATGGCAACGTGATCATGATGAATGGGATTCTGTCTGTATCACTGGGAATGTTCCATAAATGGCTTCTGGATCCTGGAGCCACTTTCATAATTTATTGAGAGATAAATCTTGCTGCACATCTCTAGAGACAGTAGACAATCTCACTTTCTCTCTCCTCTTCTCTTTCTCCTTTCTCTCTTTTTCTCTGTTTCTCACCCTCTTCTGCTTCCTTCCTTCTCTCCTTCCTTCCTTCCTTCCTTCCTTCCTTCCTCTCTTCCTCTCTCCCCTTCTCTCCCTCTGTCTCTCATAATGGAGTGTGGTTGGAAAATCCTGCTTAATTCCTACATTTAACTCTTAAGTGCCACCTTTTCACAATATCTGGCTCAGCAAATCACAGAGATGCAGATAAATAAGGACCAGACAAGTTTCATTTTCAAGGCTGGGAGTAGGGTGGAGGAGGGTGTCAGACAGATGTAGGAGGAAGAAAGTGGGCCTCATAAGCTATGGTTCTTGAAGTCTCCTGCCCAGTGTTCAGCAGGAGCATTTCTAAAAACTGTTTGTCCAGGGACTTCCTTTCTTATAGAGAAGTTAATGATATTGATGGTCTACCAAAGACACTTTAGAAAACCCTGACCTACCGGATGTTGTCTGGGCTCAAAGGTGACCTCTGTGTGCTGCAAAGAGATTGTATCAGAAGAGATATGCATGTGCCTGTTTTTTTCTGCATTAAAACCAAAGTCTGTTCTGCTTAGTTTGGTTAGTTCACAAACTTAGCTTAGCAAATACAATATTGGACATGAAGTATAGTTAAAAGAACACCCCCTGGCCGGGTGCGGTGGCTCACGCCTGTAATCCCAGCACTTTGGGAGGCCACGGCAGGCAGATCATGAGGTCAGGAGATCGAGACCATCCTGGCTAACACGGTGAAACCCCGGCTCTACTAAAAATACAAAAAAATTAGCCCAGCGTGGTGGCGGGCACCTGTAGTTCCAGCTGCTCAGGAGGCTGAGGCAGGAGAATGGCGTGAACCCGGGAGGCAGAATTTGCAGTGAGCCGAGATCACGTCACCGTACTCCAGCCTGGGCCACAGAGCAAGACTCCGTCTCAAAAAAAAACAACAACAAAAAAAAACCACCCCCTGAGATGTGATATCAGTGGTTGGGGTGTGAGGAGGTGGTGGGAGCTTTACTGGTAATACACAAAATGATACTTTAGAATCTATATATCTTCCTGTTGTGGGAAAACTATTTTCAAAAGAAACCAAAATCAAGTAGTTGCTCTTCCTACCTGAAGAAGAAAACTAGAACACCTTTCTCATCTTCATACCTCATCTTCCACATCTGCAAAATGGGATCAATAATGGCACTCCCATTTCTATAGTGTAAGATTTCCATGAGATGACGTATTTGAAACATCATGCCAGGCATGGTAAAAGCCCTGTCAATGTTATTAGCCTGTCTTTTATCTTTTGTTGTAACTAATTATGCTTATGTCGACTTTGTAGGTGACTCATGTAGTGTTCTCATTGCAGATAATAGCTTTAGGTATTTTCCAGAATTAATGAAGTACCTAATGTATAATTTTACATTTTATTAGAGATGGAGGACTGGGTTGGGGAACTGTTAAGTTGCAGTAATTCCAATGGGGAAAACCAGGTAAGCACGTATCCACAGAAAATGTGGCTTTAAGGAAGTTTGGTCCTGCCCTGGTGTGGGGCAACGGTTCCTGTATGAAATGTTATTTGGATGCAGAATGCGCCAGATCTGGCATCCAGAAGCAATGGCTGTGTATGTTCCTCTGCCGTCCATGCTGGCTACTACTGGAGGCAGCCAGTCCCCCACATCCCTGAGCTCACAGGGTGTCACATATGAGCCCAGCGGCAGGTGATGTGCCTCTAGCAGTCCGCCCCGCTGCCCGCCACATCCTCTCTGCACTGAAAGGGAGGAAGGATAAGGAGGACTTTGGCCACAGCTGTCCAGGCAAAGGTAAGGAGTTGGGGATAAGGAACAGGTGGGCACTGGTAGGGGGAGAACTGAGAAGCCACATAAATGACAGAGCAGAGCAGATAAAAGCCTTGTTTACACTACTACCTCACAGAATCTCCTGGTCTCTAGAAATACATATTTCAGTGGCTCTCCAGAAGACAGAGAATGGCATGCTGGCAGGCAGGGGACAAGTAGCTGATTTATCCCTGCCTGTATTATTTCTGCCTTCTGCAAACATTATAATTTCGTCAGCAACAGTGAGGGCAACATCTGTTATTTTCTAAGTGTTTTATATAAGAACCTTATGTCCAGGCATGGTGGCTCACACCTGTAATCTCAGTGCTTTAAGAGGCTAAGGCCAGAGGATCGCTTGAGGCCAGGAGTTCAATATCAGCCTGGGCACCATAGTGAGACCCCATCTCTAAAATAAAATAAAATAAAATAAAATCTTATTAAAGGCACTATTATTATCCCTGCTTTTCAAAACAGAGACACAGCACAGTTAAGCTGAATCAGGTGGCAGCTGGGGAGCCAGGATCTGTGCCCAGGTCTGATAGACATCATTGTCTCTGGTCTTATCTACTATGCTCTGTTATTGGGTTATAAAGCACCAGTCATCAAATTCTAATTTCCTCTCAAACTGGGCACCTACTGGGTGTAAGTCAGTGCTCTGAGTTTCAGACAATGCTTGTCATTGGGCAAAAGTGTTCAGGACAATGTCACATAGGTGGAGGCCTATATTAACTCACTTAATCTTGTACACAGCCCAGAAAGAGAGAAAACAAGAGGTTCAGGGGCATTAATACACTTGTTCTGTTAGGATACTGTCATATCTGTAAAACTGTGGAGCAGGAACCTGGAACCAGAGCTGCTGCCTCCAAAGCTCTTAACTCCTGAGCAGCTACTCTCAAATCTCCCATTAAATCTCCTTAAATTTCCTCCTAGAAGGAGAGAATCAGAAGATGTGTTCAACTAGTCAGAGCGAAGAGGGCAAGAGAACTCTTCCTTTTTTCTCTAATTCAAACCAAGTGTAGATGTCTCCAAACTTAAGGGGGCCTGAAGGGGGAGTTTTGGAAGGATACGTAGTCATTATAAACCAAGGTCAGTGGAGGGCCTATAGATTTTGGGCATGAGGAGGTAGACATGGTTGTGGAACTTTGAATATTGATCTTTACTTCTCACATGAGGCATTGAACTCCTTCAGGACAAGACTGGGCTTTCTTCCTCTCTGATCTACAGAATCAAAGTCAGTTCCCATTGTGGTTTGGTAGACAGATAGATGAATAAAAGACTCAGTAAATATCAATTTCACACTGATTCAGATGGCTATTACGAAGAAACCCCAGAAAATTATAAGTGTTGGTGAGGATATGGAGAAACTGGAATTCTGGTGCATTACTGATGGGAATGTAAAAGGGTGCATCCTCTATGGAAAATGATATGGCAGTTCCTCACACAATTAAACATGGAATTAGCATTTGATCCAGTCAGTCCAGTATATACACAAAAGAATTAAAAACAGGCACTGGAACAGATGCTTGTATACCCATATTCAGAACAGCATTATGCACAGGAACTAAAAGGTGGAAGCAACCCAAATGTCCAGAGATAGATGAATGGATAAACAAAATATTGCATAAGCATACAATGAATTACTATTCAGCCTTGAAAAGCAAGGAAATTTTGAGACAAGCTACTACATAGATGAACCATGAAGACATAATACTAAGTAAAATAGTCAGTCACATAAGGGCAAATATTGCATGATTCCACTTACATGAGGAAGTAGAATATTAGTCAAACTCATAAAGACAGACAGTGGGATGGTGGTTTCCAGGGGACAGGGCCTGGGGGTGGGGAATTATTGTTTAATGAGTACAGAGTATCAGTTAGGGAAGATGAAAAATGTTCTGGAGTTGGAAGGTGGTGATGGTCACACAACAATGTGAATTCTACAGAACTGTATAATTAAAAATGATCAAAATGTTGTTTTATGCTATGTATATCTTACCACAATAAAAAATGAAAAAAAAGAATTAATAATTAGGCCAGATGCAGTGGCTCACACCTGTAAGTAATCCCAACACTTTGGGAGGCCGAGGCAGGTAGATCACCTGAGGTCAGGAGTTCGAGACCAGCCTGGCCAACGTGGTGAAATCCCGTCTCTACTAAATATACAAAAATTAGCCAGGCATGGTGGTGCATGTCTGTAATCCCAGTTACTCAGGAGGCTGAGGCATGAGAATCGCTTGAACCCAGGAGGCGGAGGTTGCAGTAAGCCGAGATCACATCACTGCACTCTAACCTGGGTGACAGAGTGAGATGCTGTCTCAAAAAAAAAATAATAATAATAATTGATGAGTAAATATCACAAGTACACTCCTTACAGTTTCTTTCAGTCCCTCCTGTTTACTTACAATCCGAAACATATGTGTTTGAGAATTATCTTTCCTTCTTCATAATAATATGCATCCGAGCAAGGGACCAACTGCATTTCAGAGCCTCCAGTCTCCAGGACTTCATGTGATTTTTAAGATAAGGGTATGGGTAGGGAAGGGCATTCTGGAATGAGAATCCTGTAGTCAATTCCTTTCAGAGGAGGCAGGAGGGCATGCAGAATAAAGGCACACATAACAAGCCAATCTTGGGAAGAACAGTGGTGGTGGAGTCAGCTGATCTGGTTGAAAATCCCAGGGCAATTATTGTGGGGGTATCATGCAGGTCAGGTTAGTTTTTGGCCCTCCATGGCCTCACCTGGAAGATGCAGATGAAAACCTCTGCCCTAGCTACCATTAGGGTGGGGGCAAGTGTGGTAAAGGAAAGGGGGAAAGTGGGAAGTGCTGTGCACTGAAGGCAAACTCCACTACTGTCGACTGTGCAGTCTAGTGCTGGACCAGGCACGGTAGGGAGAGACGGCTAAGTGTCAGGATCAGAGCAGCCTGAGCAGGCGGAGAGAGGCTCATCAGTGTTGAGACCAATTGCTACGATTCATCGGGTAAGTGGCACTACTGGAGAGAGTACTCTTGATTATCAGAAGGAAATAAATCCTCAACCCTCCACCTACTTATGTTCCTTTGCTATTAAATCTGGAGAAAATAAACTCATGGTGCAGGAAGGTTTACTGATTCCTAAGGACAGTTGCTGGCTTTAAAAATCCATCATCACCTGTGTGTCAGGTTTAGCTGCAGGGCAGGAGAAAAGGGTAGTGAGGAAGACTTGTGAGAAATGAGGCTGACTGCTGTCCGGGACAGGACAAAGTGAAGGTAGAAAGCAGGCAGGGAGGCTCCCTCATGGTGCGTCGAACAGGAGAGAGGAGAGACTGGTCCTGGGTCAATGCAATTACAATAATGACAGATCTCTGGAGGCCACAGCCAGCCACTTCATGTACCTTTATGACTTGTGAAGAAGGAACCTATTCTTGGTTTAAGGCTCTGCCATTGTTATTTTGAAATTCATAATAAGTTTTAAGCAAAGGGCCCTGATTTTCCTTTTGCATGGTGCCCTGCAAATTATGTAGACAGTTCTGTAGAGAGTACAATATGACTAGGTGCCTACTCTTTCCAACAAGTTCTAATCTTGTCAGGAAAACAAGAGCTATATACCAAGGACTTGGATTAAGGAACGAAAAGACAGAGAGGGGAAAAAGTGAAGATAAGGAAATCAACCACTGAACTCAAATGTTACTTTTTCTGTGAGGCTGCCCTAAACTACCCTATTTAAAATTGCAACTTGCTCTCCTAACCCCGCACCTGATAGCCATTACTCTGCTGAATTTCAAAACTTTTTCAACAGTATTTACTACTTGCTAATGTACTATATACTTTACTAATCTAGTAGGCTTATTATTTATTGTCTGTCTTGCCTTCCTAGAATGTAAGTTCCATGAGGGCAGGGATCTGTAGCTGTTTCATTCATTGATATATCCAAAGTTCCTAACAATTCTGACATGCTGTAGGCCCTCAGTGGATTTTCCATATATGAAAGAATGAAGCAAGCACTTAATATGTAAGAAGACTTATGCTAAGCCAGTTTATCTCATCTAAACCTTCCAAGGACCTTACAAGATTTGGTCATTTATTTACTATGCATAGGAGCCAAATTGGGTCCTGGAGGCACAAATGTAAATATGTCCAGGGATCTGCCCTCAGTATAGATATTAGCAATTTAGAGATACTCTTTTACAATAGAGAACCTGAGGCTCAGAGAGGTCGAGCGATTTGCCAAATGTTAACATAGAGGAAGCCCCTGCTTTTCCAGAAGAGGATTAGGGTCTGAAGGAGAAGAAGGGCAGAGAGATTGAGAAAGAGAAAGTGGGGAGTGAGATGGGGGAGATGGCAGAGGGAAGAGTCAGCATGGGGGGAATCCATGCCCTGATCTCTAGGTGGCTTTGGGTGTCCTCCTGAAGAAGAAGCAGCACAGGGAAGGGAAATGATCAGGAAGGGTCCCAGAAATTATCTTAGGAGTTCAGGAAAGGTGGGCATTTCCTTGGGACTCAGCCCCATATTTGGAGGAGATTATTTCCACCAACCCAGGCATGACTTTCACCCAGCCCCCAGGGTTGCACCTGCTTGATTTATCTAAGCCAGGCAGCTGTGCCTTAGTGAAAAGAATCCTAAATGTGGACTCAGGAGGCGTGGATAAAAAAAAAAATCCAGTCTTTTATCTTGAAACTTTGTTCACAAACTTTGTGTAAAGTCTCGTCCTTGCCATTCATGGTGTGCCCTTGGGCAACTGAGTCACCTCACTGCTCTGAACCCAGCTATTCAAATGGGGGCACACTTTTATGCTGGAGAAGTCACTCAACTCAGAATTAAAAGTCATACCTTCCCCAGCCCCAATTCATTATGAGCTGTATTGTCTTAGGCAAACCTCTTAAGCTCTCTGAGCCTTACTTTCTTTACCAATAAGCCACAAATCATAAAACAAAGATAAAAGGTAATATATAGAGAAAAATGACCAGCTTGAGGATTGGATTTATAACTCCAACCCCATTAGCATAAGGTTTTAGCCAACTCTGACAACTTCAGTTGAAATCAGTCTGGATCCACAGAGGGTCAAATCTTGAAACTGAAGCATCTATTCCATTCTCCACTTTTTTTTCATAATACCTTTTTTACCTTTGAAAGTTGCACAATGTGCCTGAACTTAAGTTTCAACTTCGCTTAACCCTTGCTGATTCTTTTGGCCCTAGGAGTGTTATCAGATCACTAGGCAGGGAAGTGAGGGGTCCCCAGGGGACGGGATATACTTTTCCAATTCAATTGCAGAGGCAGTTCAGTTCTGTGTATATGAAAAGTAGTCAAATTATTGCAAATGTCTAGTCAATTCCAAATGTCACCAGCTACCAGTAAACAACAAAAAGCAAGCTACATTCAGGACTGGATCATTTAAAACATAATTATAATAAATGATTTAAAGGAGCTCTTTTAATTACCACTACATATCAAAGCCTCAGGAAGGCATTCCAGAAGAATTGTTTTCTATTGTAACTGCATACATTTAAATGCCATTAATTTCATATCTGTCATTCACTTTTCTTCTACTACATTGATATCTGTATCAGGGAATTCAATGCCTCCCATTTCATTTAGGGATTTCATGGTTTTGATTGAGGAAAAGCTTTGTTTTCAGTCCTTCAATTCCCCAATGCCATTTCCATTCCAAAGCATAATTTTGGAGACCAAGTGAAGACTAAAATGAAGGAGAAGAAGTGAGACTAGGTGAAGAATTGAAAAGACGACTGCCTTTGTGATTAAGGGACCAAGTTTTTACTACTGGTTCTGCTACTGATTTGCTATGTGACCTATCTGGACCCATCACCTATCTGGACTTCAGTTTCTGCTCTATAAATTGTGAATAAGAATAATTCCTGCCCCTGCCTATCTCACTGGAGGTTTGAAGTTTCAATGAAAAAATGAGAAATAATTGTATACACCATTCATTCATTTAAGCAGTCATTCACTCAGTAATTATTTAATAAGTACTGCCTATATGTCAGGTGGTGTGCTAGCAGCTAGGATGAAAACCAAGCAAGATAAAATGCCTCTCTAGTAAGAAGCTTACTGTCAAGCAGAGGAGACAAAAGAGTGAATCCACTCCTTTGGGTTAGATGTTCACTTTCCCATTCTGTTTGCTTGTTTTTTTTTTTTTTTTTTTTTTTTAGTTAGAAAATTTCTGATTT